>NC_000006.12:514545-666060 GCF_000001405.40 Homo sapiens
GCGCTGCTCCCACTTTCCCATGCTCTGAGCGCGTGGTTTGGAGCCCCTGGTGTGCATGTGAGGCTTTCTTAGGAGCTGCAGGGCGAGGGCTGTGAAGACACAGCTGCTCCAGGGGCTCCAGGGAGGCCAAAGGGGTCGCCCCTGGGGCAGATGTCTATGGGAGAAGCCCAAGGGACGCAGAGGCCAGGGGAGGAGCACACACCACAGGCAGATGTGTGGGGGAGGAGCCCAAAGGACAGAGAACCAGCAGGCAGGCCCTGGGTCAAGCCCCGTGATGTCCCAGGAGGAGGGGAGGAGGGCGGAGTCGGAGGGGAGCGAGGGAGCCAGGGAGGCAGGGCCCTCTGAGGGCAGGGAGTTCTCCATGAAGTTCCAGAAGCCAATGACCAGATCGGCGCATGCAAACAGCTTAAAAGAAAACATTAGGCACTGGTGGCTTCGCTCTAAACGAACAGTTCTTAAAACTGCTTTCAGTTCTAGCCATAATAAAGGCATTTGAATTATGTTGCTTTTGATGAAACTATAAAGATATTGGCTTTTATACAGTATCATGCCAGAAACAAATTTATAACATTGTTATGGTATAACAGCAGGAATACTTGGAATACACATTTTTCAGCTGAGCTCTAAGAATTACTTTTCCCTTGCCCCAGGTTGGCAATTAAGAACTATAACTTACTTCCACCCCACTCCACCTCACCCTACCCCAGAAACAAAGAAAAACAAACACGCAAACAAAACCAGGAAGGTAGGTTAGGAAATGTGGGCATTGAAGGTAAATGAAAATACATGAAAAAAAGTTCATGTCTTAACATCTGTCCGTCCTGTCCACACAGTCTTCTGTCCTCCCCGTCTGTCCCCTGCTTTCCTGTCATGGCTGTTGCTCTCTACAATCCTTAGAATGTCGGCACCACAGCAGGAGGCAGGCTTACCCAGGGACTGATACCCTGACGCCCTGAGCACAGACAGCAGGTTCAGGGCTGAATGCAGCCAGTGTGGCTCCAGGGTGCTAGGGTGACAGGGCACACGGCAGTCCTAGGAGGGAGCGAGAAGCCAGAGTGACCGTAATCATACAACGATTTCCAACAACAAAGGAGAGACGCACACAGCTGGGGCGGTCCTAGGAGGGAGCGAGAAGCCAGAGTGACCGTAATCATACAACGATTTCCAACAACAAAGGAGAGACGCACACAGCTGGGGCGGTCCTAGGAGGGAGCGAGAAGCCAGAGTGACTGTAATCATACAACGATTTCCAACAACAAAGGAGAGACGCACACAGCTGGTGGGTATCTGCAGTGAGCACCAAGTGGCTTCCGGGGGTTTCTTTTAGAAAACTTGCCCGTCCTTAGGTTCACTGTTGTGATTTAATCCCTTAGATTCTGTTCACCAGCGACTAAACTACCAAGGCGTATGGTGACTTGGTTTGTTAGGAAGTCCAACCATAACATTTGGAAATCATTGGAGCCTCAGCTGTCTACTGTGAGGCATGTTATAAATAACTGGGAAAGCAGAACGTTTTTCAGTTTTCCAGTTCAAAGGAATAATCTGGAACTGTCTATAACCCTACGCTACTCCAGTGCACTCCACCCATCCAAATACTGAGACAGTCCTGAAAGCGTTTCATTAAATCTCACCTTACCGCAGAGGGCAAAGATACTAATCAAGTGGTTTTGTTCTAGCAGGCCATCTTTGCTCCTGACGCTGGGAGAATACGCATTTCTAACTGTGACCTAAGGCTCTGGTTCTGGGGCGGCACTGGAGGAGAGGGAAGACAGCTGCTAGGCCACGCGTACATGAAGATGATCCAAACTGCAGCGCTCGTTGTCAGCTTTCAATGTTCCCACGCACAGAGCTAGCTCGTCTAGCTCCATCACTGCACCCCTAGCCCCGGCCCAACAGAGCTGTGTGGCACAGCTGGCTGAGCTGTCATCATATGTGCAGACACCAGAGGCTTCCCTGGCTCTGCAGGGCAGGCCTGAAGCCAAGGGATCAAAAGAAAGGCAGGTTTTCCAATGCCCCACGAAGTCTTCTGACTAAACTGTTTAAGAACAGCAACAAATTCAGGGCTAACATTCACACCAAATGTAGCCAAGACCAGGAGGAAATAATAGCTGGGCTGGGGGAAGAGGATGCCAAGACGGTAGCATCTACGCAAGTATCTGTCACTATCTGTGTACCACAGGGCACACAGCTGTGAAGCATGTAAATGAGTTTTGGAGAGAGTCCCTCCATAATTAGATAAACAAAACCAGGTCAAGTGACAAAAAATCCCTAATGCTTTCCATAGCACCTCAGAAGCCTAAATTCTCAGAGTTCCTAGTACAGATATAGAATATGACAGAAGAAACACACACACCTTCCCCAGCGCCTCACTGACGGAGAGACCACGGTAGAGGGAACGCAGGCAGCCTTTCTCACCTGCCTGGTGGGAGCAGGTCCAGCTGGCAATGACCTGAATGGAAGTGGTGGTGCTGCTGGAATATGAGAAGGGACCATGACTGATGCTGCCACAGCCCGCCCAGCTGTAGAACTGACTTTGGGGTGAGACTGAACGAGAGCTATGGGGTTAGAAAAAGCCAGTTGGGGGTAGACAGGGTGGACAGAGACACAGTGTGGAAAGAAATAAAAGAGAAGAAGGAAGATGTTCATATTTCATATTCCATCAATTCCTCCCAACGGCTGATTCTACGAAGCAAGGAAACCAGCATGAGTGTGGAACATGGCACCCTATGGCGAGGCTGTACTGTCAGGACCCAGGGCCCACCTGAAGAGACTCCCACAAAGAGGGCACAACTAAATTAAAAAAAAATCAACTACAATGAATTGAAGCTCATCAAATTATGTTTACATCATGACTTCATAAAGGTAATCAAAAAATAAAAAAATACCTTAGTAATGACCTTTGAGAAATACTAGCAAACCAACTCATTCTGAAAACTGCTAACTAATCAGGCATCTATCCTGCCCCTCCTGTATGAACTGTACTTCAGAGCTTAATGAAAAAAACTTAGTGTTCCAGCTAACAATTATTATTTTCAATTTCTAATAAGAAATAGATTATGAAAACAATTACCAATGGTGCTAAAACCATTAGATGAAAAGTTTATGGTGAACTTTTAAAGGGTATACCAAGCTGATAACACTTGAATTCAATTTTCAATCTTATCATCAAAAGCAGAGACAACCAAACATAAGGTATCTCCTGATGGAAGTAAACAATATAAAATCAAACCTCAAACTGATAGCTTCATTATTAACCACAAATTTATAGGAAACATAAGGGACAAAGGAACAGGTTAAATGACACCATGAGGAAGCTATCTGAAAAATATAGAATATGAGAAAATCTACAGAACAAAAAACCCGATTTATTCATTTAAAGATGGGTGGGTAACAGGCAAACAACCACTTCACTGAGCACCAAAAGTGACTCAAGAGAGGTTTATTTTTCTTAATTAAGAGACATATCAACCAAAAGTAATGTGTGGACCTTGACTGAATCCTGATACGAACAAACTGTCTAAAAAGCTTCTACGAGAATTTGAACATTGACTAAATAGCTGATAAAATTAAGGAATTACTGTTAACTTTCTCCAGATCTCATAATGGTATTATGATTACGTTTCTTTAAAAAAAATCAGTCCTTATCTTATCTGTGTATGGATGAAATGATCGAATATCTGGGATTTACTTCAAAATAACAGATCTCAGAGGCAGTGGGGAGCCCAGGGGCACAGATCAGACAAGACTGGCTGTGAGATGATCGCTGCTTAAGTCGGCCAACAGGTCAACTGGATTTGTCAGACTGTTCGGTTTGGAGATATGTCTCAAAATTTCCATAACCAAAAGTTTTTAAATGACTTGGACTGTTTATTTGTACAATAGTATGTTAGTTTACCCTGATGCCAAACAGCATAGTTTATAGCTATCAATTTAAAACATAATAAAATAAATACTTTAGCAGATAAGACATGCAATGAAGAAAATATGTAGGCCACGGGTCATCTTGAAGTTAATAAATTTCACATTTAAGACCATTTGAGCCAACAACTAGCTTTATTGAAAAATGCTTGGCAGACAAAGAAACTATAACCAAATGCCTAAAGCATTGGACAAATGGTTTTACAGCACTGACTCTAATATATCAAACAGCTTATAAAGAAGAAGAAAATATCTGAAAACAAGCAAGATTAATGAAACTGTTGTTTTCTTAAAAAAAGATGACCAATGAAAATTATACTCCTTTAGAAAATGTAAAATTCCTTTTTGCTTTAAAGAGATTAAGTACAAGACTATTAATATCTACCTCCAAACTTCGTAAATGTAATTCAGAATAGTCCTAGGGATTGATAGTTTTCCATCAGAGTTCAGTAAAGAAAAAAAGATTATTGACTTAGGCTTCCCTCTTCAGAGATGAAGTCCACTCAACTGGTATCCGTTTTGATCAAAAGCAGAAGTCGTAAAGTGCCAAGTACTCAATGACAAGGACACAGAACCGCGTGAGGGATGGGTGGGTGACAGGGAAACCATCACCCACCGAGCGCCGACACTCACCGTCCACACTCGGAGACGAAAACCACCACCCACCGAGCGCCGACACTCACCGTCCACACTCGGAGACGAGAACCACCACCCACTGAGCGCCGACACTCACCGTCCACACTCGGAGACGAGAACCAACACCCACCGAGCGCCGACACTCACCGTCCACACTCGGAGACGAGAACCACCACCCACCGAGCGCCGACACTCACCGTCCACACTCGGAGACGAGAACCACCACCCACCGAGCGCCGACACTCACCGTCCACACTCGGAGACGAGAACCACCACCCACCGAGCGCCGACACTCACCGTCCACACTCGGAGACGAGAACCACCACCCACCGAGCGCCGACACTCACCGTCCACACTCGGAGACGAGAACCACCACCCACCGAGCGCCGACACTCACCGTCCACACTCGGAGACGAGAACCACCACCCACCGAGCGCCGACACTCACCGTCCACACTCGGAGACGAGAACCACCACGCACCGAGCGCCGACACTCACCGTCCACACTCGGAGACGAGAACCACCACGCACCGAGCGCCGACACTCACCGTCCACACTCGGAGACGAGAACCACCACGCACCGAGCGCCGACACTCACCGTCCACACTCGGAGACGAGAACCACCACGCACCGAGCGCCGACACTCACCGTCCACACTCGGAGACGAGAACCACCACGCACCGAGCGCCGACACTCACCGTCCACACTCGGAGACGAGAACCACCACGCACCGAGCGCCGACACTCACCGTCCACACTCGGAGACGAGAACCACCACCCACCGAGCGCCGACACTCACCGTCCACACTCGGAGACGAGAACCACCACCCACCGAGCGCCGACACTCACCGTCCACACTCGGAGACGAGAACCACCACCCACCGAGCGCCGACACTCACCGTCCACACTCGGAGACGAGAACCACCACCCACCGAGCGCCGACACTCACCGTCCACACTCGGAGACGAGAACCACCACCCACCGAGCGCCGACACTCACCGTCCACACTCGGAGACGAGAACCACCACCCACCGAGCGCCGACACTCACCGTCCACACTCGGAGACGAGAACCACCACCCACCGAGCGCCGACACTCACCGTCCACACTCGGAGACGAGAACCACCACCCACCGAGCGCCGACACTCACCGTCCACACTCGGAGACGAGAACCACCACCCACCGAGCGCCGACACTCACCGTCCACACTCGGAGACGAGAACCACCACCCACCGAGCGCCGACACTCACCGTCCACACTCGGAGACGAGAACCACCACCCACCGAGCGCCGACACTCACCGTCCACACTCGGAGACGAGAACCACCACCCACCGAGCGCCGACACTCACCGTCCACACTCGGAGACGAGAACCACCACCCACCGAGCGCCGACACTCACCGTCCACACTCGGAGACGAGAACCACCACCCACCGAGCGCCGACACTCACCGTCCACACTCGGAGACGAGAACCACCACCCACCGAGCGCCGACACTCGCCGTCCACACTCGGAGACGAGAACCACCACCCACCGAGCGCCGACACTCGCCGTCCACACTCGGAGACGAAAACAACCACCCACCGAGCGCCGACACTCGCCGTCCACACTCGGAGACGAAAACAACCACGCACGGAGCGCCGACACTCACCGTCCACACTCGGACATGAAAACCACCACCCACCGAGCACCAACACTCACCGTCCACACTCGGAGATGAAAACCACCACCTATTGAGTGCCAACAATCACCGTCCACACTCGTAGATGAAAACCACCACCCACCGAGCGCCAACACTCACCGTCCACACTCGGACATGAAAATCACCACCCACCGAGCGCCAACACTCACCGTCCACACTCGGAGATGAAAACAACCACCCACCGAGCCCCGATACTCACCGTCCACACTCGGAGATGAAAACAACCGCCCACCGAGCGCCGACACTCGCCGTCCACACTCGGAGAGGAAAACCACCACCCACCGAGCGCCGACACTCGCCGTCCACACTCGGACATGAAAACAACCACCCACCGAGTGCCTACACTCACTGTCCACACTCGGAGATGAAAACAACCACCCACTGACTGCCAATACTCACCGTCCACACTCGGAGATGAAAACCACCACCCACTGAGCACCGACACGCACCGTCCACACTCGGAGACGAAAACCACCACCCACCGAGCGCCGACACTCACCGTCCACACTCGGAGATGAAAACCACCACGCACTGAGTGCCGACAGTCACTGTCCACACTCGGAGACAAAAACAGATTCTGAAAAGTGTCCCAACAAACAGCACTAGGAATATGATGTTCATGATGGTAGCCTTAAAATTCTGTGGGGCTCAAAGTGTCTTTAGAATAATGAAGAAAGGTAGAACTACATTTAGGAGATCTTTGGTGTTACAGTATTTTATAGCATTTGAATTCTTTTTTTTTTTTTTCCTGAGACAGGGTCTGTCTGTCACCCAGGCTGGTGTGCAGTGATGGGATCTTGGCTCACCACGCCTTGACCTCCCAGGCTCACGTGATCCTCCCACCTCAGCCTCCTGAGTAGCTGGGACCACAGGTATGTGCCACCATGCCCAGCTAATTTTTGTGTTTTTTTGTAGGGATGGGGTCTCACTATGTTGCCCAGGTTGGTCTCTAACTCCTGGGCTCAAGCGATTCACCTACCTCAGCCTCCCAAAGTGCTGGGATTACAGGTGTGAACCACCATGCCTGGTCTCGAATTCTTTGTAAATGGGGTGTCCATGTTATTTTTGGTTATTTATCCTAATTAATAAACCAAAGTTCTCTTTTTGACATTTATTGAATAAAAAATAGTTGACTCAATTTGACTTTCTGTTGAAAATAACTATTAATATAAAAAACCCAAGGGTAAATTTCGTATTTTATTGATGTTCATTTTCACCTATCATCTATGGCTTGAGTAACCCTTACCAAGGCATTAGCTAATCAACTAATAACTGAATAAATCTATTACTGGATGCTTACTCCAAGCCAGGTGCCTGGCTAATCATGGATACAGAGAGGAGACACAAGCAGGAGGGTTCACATCCAGACAGGTGGACCAGCAGGACAGTGTGTGGTGAGCACTGTGAGCTGGGCTGGTCTTAGGTGAAATGATGGTACAGCAAGGTGTCTCCAGGCCTCAGGCAGGTCCACGCGGACTGCAGGACAGCGTGTGGGGGAGCATTGAGCTGGGCTGGGCACAGGTGAAATGATGGTACAGCAAGGTGTCTCCAGGCCTCAGCCAGGCCCATGCGGACTGCAGGACAGCGTGTGGGGAGCACTGTGAGCTGGGCTGGGCTCAGGTGAAATGATGGGGACAGCAAGGTGTCTCTAGGTCTCAGGCAGGTCCATGCGGACTGCAGGACAGCGTGTGGGGAGCGCTGAACTGGGCTGGGCTCAAGTGAACTGATGGGGACAGCAAAGTGTCTCCAGGCCTCAGCCAGGCCCACGTGGACGACATGACAGTGTGTGGGAAGCATTGAACTGGGCTGGGCTCAGGTGAAATGATGGTGCAGCAAGGTGTCTCCAGGTCTCAGGCAGGTCCATGCGGACTGCAGGACAGCGTGTGGGGGAGCATTGAGCTGGGCTGGGCTCAGGTGAAATGATGGTGCAGCAAGGTGTCTCCAGGCCTCAGCCAGGTCTGAGGGGATGAAAGGAAGGTCAAGTGAAGGCAGCAGTGTGCTTGAGGGCATCTGGGAAAGGGAATGCTGGGTCTTTGAGGACTAGCAATGGCCCAGTGTAGACTGAGTACAGATGACCAGGAACGGCTGGTATGAAGAGATGAGGCTTCAGAGCTAAGCAGGTCAGCACATGACCAGTACTAAAGCTGTTTTCCTCCAAAGGCCAGGCGCCATGAAATGGCTGTGAGGAAAGAAGAAACCTGAACAAAAATGAACTTCGAAAGAATATTTCAGCAGGATTTGAGGGAGTGAGACTGGAGAGGAAGAGATCAGATAGGGAAAAAAAAATCTGTTCTGACAGGTAACATCTGAAAATCTAAATCTGATAGGTAAGATAAAGAAACCAGAGATGGGATGGCGCTATGCAGAAAGGGACATTTAGAGCCTCTGCTGGCCAAGGGGGTGTGTCCAAGTGCTACCAGTTTGGTGTCCTTCAAATGGAGAACATTCAGGGCACACTCTTGAGATCAGTACCCTGGCTCCCCAGATGCTGAGGGAGCACACTCGTGCTTACCACCTTGGTTAAGTGAGAACGCAGTGCGTCCACCTCCTACGCACAGAACTGTCGGCTTCTCTATTTATGCTTTAAACCTGGAAATCAGAAACTGCTATTTGAACAACTTGGAAAACTTGGACAGTGCTTTGTATAGTATAGACTTGGTAATATTTGTTGACTTTATGAATGAAAAATGTACTTTCTATCTGTACATGAAGTATTTTGTAGACATTGAGTATACAGATTAAGAGATTAATTTCACTTTATTCTACTCTTGCTGTTTCAAACATGTATATTTTCATATCTATGAATTCAAGTTAGACTAAGTTTAAACAGGGCAATGAATGTATGGTTTATTTTGGCAGGTGCCAAAGTATAATCAGTTCTTTTAAAAAAATTGTTTGTTTTTTGAGACAGGGTCTCTCCCTGTTGCCCAGGCTGGAGTGCAGTGGTGCAATCATAGCTCACTATAACCCTGAAGCCCTGGCCTCAAATGACCTTATTGGTGATATCACTAACTCATATGATTAAAATGCAGCTTTCTAAATTCCTCTTAAAAATGTACAATGGGGAATGGAAAACTACCTCTATTTTCCGCTGAATTGATAACGTGAATACAATGTTATTATTTGAAGGTGATGTTTGGGGTAGTATGAAGGTGTGGGTGGGGTGCAGAGCTGAACTAAGACATTACAATATATCTAGATGCTTCCACCAAAACTGAAAAAGCCGCAAAGGGAGGAGAACTTGAAGTTTGATTATGTTAAACAGAGGGGGTAGCTCTGCTTATGGATTTATTTTTTTATTGATAGAAAAGTAAGAGCAATATATGCTGAGTGGAAAGAAAAATGTCTTATAATCCTTATTCGGTCATTCATTAGGACATTTACGTATGGGGAAGAACCACCAGACTCGGCAATGACTGTAATTACGTAGAGGTGTCATCTTGTGAAGAGGTCAGCATGGCTCCTGCCTCTGGTCGTCCCATGACTACCAAACACCACGGCACATCTGTATCTATGTAAGAAACCTGCACGCTCTGCACATGTGTCCCAGAACTTAAAGGAAAATGAAATAAAATAAAAATAAATAAAACAAAAATTTCAAACATTAAAAAAAAGAAGCCCTACTTAGTCATAATGAATTAGTGTTCCACTGCATGGACAATAGTGCTTTGATCTGCTAAAAATAATTGTTACAATTTTTTGTTCCAACGTTCATGAGGGACGCTAGTCTGTAATTTTCTCTCCTTGTAATGTTCTTGTCACATTTTTGATTTGGGGTTATGCAGGTTTCATAAAATAAGATTGAATATGCTTCCTATTATATTTTCTGATAAAGTTTGTATAAAATTGGTATTATTTATTCCTTAAATGTTACATAGAACTTATCAGTAAAACCATTTGGACTTGGAATTTTCCACAAAGAAAGGTCTTTGATTGTGAATTCAACTTAATAAATATAGAAATTTTTCTATATTTAATCATCTTTTAAAAAATCAAAAGTCAAAACCCAAAAAGTTTGTCTTTTCTATTTTCCCACATATCAACCATTTCTGATTCTTTTTATTCCTTCCTTTAGATTCAAGTTTCCATCGAGTGTTTCTTTGGCTGCATCCCTCTGTGCCTTCTGCAGGAGTGCTGGGCACCTGCTGCAGTCGTGGATGGCCCTCAGATCTGGCTGGTGCAAGCTCCCCTCCTGCAAGGGTTCAAGCGCCCCCTCCAGTCTGTCGGCTTTTGACGGCTCTCCAGTGCTTCTCACAGCTGGGTTTCTATATTCTGTGCAGAGTTCAATTTTTAACTGTGGAACGGTTAGTCTGATAAGTTCTTCCTCTATTACTGAAACCAAAATTCCTCTGAAGCTTGCACTTTTTATTCTGTGGTAGTTCTAATTAAGAAAGCATGCTACATTTTATCATTAATTTTAGGATAGTTCCATCACAGGCTTACATAAAGGCATTGTAAAAACTTTCTAAGTGTAAGATAGTGCTACTACTAAGCTAACTTTACTAGGTTTTTCTTCACAAATTTACCCAAAGTGGAATTTATTCCATTTTCAAATGTCTAATAAAATGTTGAACATTGTTCAATGAGTGTTCTTGCAATGACTAGAGGCTTTCCTCTAGACTGACATGAAGACATGATGGCAATAAGTCAGCAACTAGGACTCCTGAAAATATCAGGAAAAACTGTCAAATGACTTGCAGAAACCTAAATTCACCATGTATGCCATTTCTCTATCAAATCAAGTGTGTGTCCAAGAAGAAAACAAGTTAGTACTGCATGTGCCTGTTCTTTGTGGGTATGCTGTCTCCATGAAGTTTTTCATTTCTTTAAAATATAGAAATTTCTTTTTTTAAAATAAAAATACATCTATTCTGCCCCAATATTTTTAAAAACAAAATTTTAAAGTAGAAAATTAAAGTTTTCTAGCATGCTCCTTCTTATCCCCTTTCAAGATATGTGTATACATGTCAAATTGTACATATGAAATAGATACATTGTCTTTTTCAATAAAAATGAGGAAAGAATGAATGCATGTCTCCTTAATCAACATTTTCTACCAATATATGTACAGTCCCCCACATATAGGTATGCATTTACTTATCCATCTATCCATCTCATCCATTATAAAGAAAGTATAATATTTGTTTAGATATATAACAAATTATCTAACCAATTCACTACTGATGGGCATTTAGTTTTTCAGATTCTACATATATTAAAAAATGTTTCAATAAACATCACTGTACATAATTCTTTACTTACTTCTGTAAAACTTTCCTTAAGACAAATTCTTAGACACAAAATTTCTAAGTAAATTCTATACATATAAATGTGTGCATACACACACACGCACACACACGTATGTGTATAGATGGGCCAATTTACACTCCTAGAAAGATGACGGAATAGTTTTTTTCTCTGTACCTTTGCCAAAAAGCAGGTATTATCAAGCTTTACAGTATCTGTCAATCCAGAGGGTTTTAATAAAATGATACCCTAATGGTATTTTAAATTACATTCTTTGAGAATTGATGAATTTTATCCTATTCTTATATTTATTGGCCATATTAGTTATTTTGTGAATTTCATGAACTTGTGTCTATTCTACCAGCACATCTGCCTTTTTCTTTGTGGATTTTTTTTTTTTTTTTTTTTTTTTTGAGACAGAGTTTCGCTCTTGTTGCCCAGGCTGGAGTGCAATGGCGTAATCTCGGCTCACGGCAACCTCTGCCTCCTGGGTTCAAGCGATTCTCCTGCCTCAACCTTCCGAGTAGCTGGGATGACAGGAATGCACCACCGTGCCCGGTTAATTTTATATTTTTAGTAGAGATGGGGTTTCTCCATTTTGGTCAGGCTGGTCTTGAACTCCCGACCTCAGGTGATCCGCCCGCCTCAGCCTCCCAAAATGCCGGGATTACAGGAGTGAGCCACCGCGCCCGGCTCTTCGTGGATTTCTAATGGAGGCTGTTTATTGTCTAGCAACACAGCACAATGCCTAAAATTAAGGGCTGCCTGGATTTGAACTCGGAACCCCTACCTCACCATTTCCTAGCTACATGAACTTGAGCAAGTCACTTAACTTCTTTGTGCTCAGTGGCTTCATCTATAAAATGAGAATAAAAATACTGCTTACTCCTTGAGGTGCTGTTATATAGATTAAATCAGGTGATTTATGCAAAGCCCTCTGCCTTGCACATGGTATATATGCAATAAATGCTGACTACGTTACTAAACATGGGTACCTAGTAATGTGTGTATATAAATGCATGTATAAGGAATATATGTATAAATTCACATATACATGTAACATACAACTTATTTTATAAGGACCTGAAAACATTTTAATGGTCCATTTTCTCAGAGAGCTACATTAAACTTTGAGGTCTGTCTGCAGTTTTCCATTTTTTGAAAATCAAACAAAAATTACAATTTCTCCTTATCTCCATTCTTGTAGCATTTTTCTTATTCTCTAGAAATTCTACGCTGGACCTGAGCTTTGAATGATTTAAGTTACAGGATGCAAGAGATAACCTAATTGTGCAATGTCTCTTGTAAAATTCAGTGAAAACATCTGCAAGATACATTCCAAAAGGCAGAGATCTTAAAATAAAATTCAACAAACATAGACTTGAGAAGAGCTGTGCTTCTGCCTCTGTCTCCATAATTAGACTTACATTTTCTTTCTCTTCAATTTGTTGGAATATGCTGCTTGGCACACTGCCTGGACAACACACTTACAAGTTTCGCTCACTGATGGACTGTGCACCCCAAGCCTGTGCTCTGGCACACCACTGACGGGCAGGAGGTTACCCTACTCTAGGTTATATGCATCATACATGGAAGCAACCAACTCTGCTGTTATTTTTAGAATGGTCCTAGACATACTCATGTCACAAATTATATAAAGTTTTCCCTTTCCCATTATAATTTCAATTACTATAATTAGTATAAGCACATTTGAATCAAAAATAAGTTCACTATTTACCTATAGAAAATGATTAAGTTTAGATTCACTTAGTAAATAACTTTAAATAATATACATTAATTTAAATTTTTATGACTTTTTGATAGAAAAAATAAAACCAGTATTTAACAGAAAACTTAAATAATACTTTTTTCTTATTTAATGTTTCAAAGACGTGAACTTCAATGTGTATTTGTAAGTAAAGACCAACAGTATTCTTATTTAAAATTTATAAAATTCAAATACTAAGAACTCTTAATAATTGCAGATAACAGAACAATTAAAATCTTAACAGCAGTTTTGTGACTCAGAACTAACTAGAATAATCTTTACTGACATATACACAAATAAAGAGGTGACAACAATTTAAATACCCAACGGTAAGATTTAAAAAAACATCGCTACGGCTTTAACGGATATCTCTTGTTGAATCATGAAATTAATCAACTGGATTTTTTTTTTTAATCACTACATACAGTATCGGAAACTAAATTTATTGGTAACTACAGCAATAAGTAATCAGTTACCTACATGATTTGCAAAATTCAGTTTCTGAAGAAGTAAACTCTGAAGATAATACTAAAGTTGTTAATTGAAATTATTTTGGAAGATTAATAGTCAAACTATTTTGGCTGCTCACTTTACACAAGGTCTCAACTTAAGTCAGCTTTAAACAAACTAAAAATCACTATATGACTATGCAAGGCTGAGGTTCAGTTAGTAATCATGAAGTCAAAACTACACAAAGAACAGAACTAAATAGAGTTTATAAAAGTGAAACGAGCACCGATGACTTCTACATGTTTTTGGAATCTGAGGAAGAGTAAATAAATTGCTGGTAGTATGGTGCCATGTGCCATTTGCTTATGAAAGAAAGTTTGTCAGGAAAAAAACAAAACCAATAAACGAAGCTATGTTAAAAAAAAAAGCCTCACCACTTAATGTCACACAGCCAGAAGAATCTTAATTTTGTAGTGAAGATTATCTGAGGTTACAGACTCTTATTAAGATCAACCTCAGGATTACATTTAGGCTCTGATCCTAATTCACAACCGAGGCTTGTCTAGTTCAATGTCATGGCTGGAAAATATGAAGGTCACAGAGACAGGATTCTGGGTACCTTAAATAAATCCAGTGAGGACTTTGAAATTCCAAGTGGTGGTAACTAGCTGGATGCAGAAGAACCCTAAGATAAATCCAGTGAGGACTTTGAAATTCCAAGTGGTGGTAACTAGCCGGATGCAGAAGAACCCTAAGATAAATCCAGTGAGGACTTTGAAATTCCAAGTGGTGGTAACTAGCCGGATGCAGAAGAACCCTAAGATCCCCGTTAGCCCGGCATCGCCTGCCTTTTACCCCCCCCCGCGCCCTGGTTACTGCTCACTCAAGTGCTGCCACACGATTCACAGCCTCGTGATAATGGCCAGCAGCCCCTGCACTTGAAGTCCTGTGACCTAACGCCGCCCTTCAGGGAATGGGCCTTCATAGATGTCTGTTTTCCGAAGACACCTTGGAGCGGGTGGATGGGAAAGACCTGCCTTTCACCTGACAGACATTCTCGACTGCCCCTGCCGGTGTTCGGCATACACTAAAGATGCCTCGCTGTTTGTTAACGGAGGCAGCAGGTCTGAGAGAGGGCTGGCAAAGAAAAGTCTTCTTCTGCATCAGGGGCAAATAAATCCTCTTTCTCGGTAACAATCGGAGATTTCAGTGACGACAGAGAAGAATCACTTTGTTGAGAGTGAAACTCGGTGGCCCATTCTAAATTTTTATAGTCATCACTGAAGCGCAGGAAACTCAGAGGGGCTGTGTCATGATTTTTTTCTATTCTCAAAGAAATATCACAAGTGATTTAATAGCCTTGAACATAACCAATTAAGATAAGCATGATTTCAGAGTGAACAGTTAACGTACTTACATGTGAATCACAGGAAAAGATATGAACTTTGACAAAATTCATTTAAACTATTACTGAACAATGTATTACTTTTTGCATGGTGATGCAAAGTAATACATTGTTCAGTAATAGTTTACATAACTAAACAGATAGAATTGCTGATGTGTTAGATGTGTGAACAGTTAATGTCGTTACATGCTAATCACAGGGGAAGATACGAACTTTAACAAAATTCATTTTAACTATTACCGAAAAATGTATTACTTTTTGCATGGTGCAAGGTAATACATTGTTCGGTAAGAGTTTAAATAGTTAAACAGACAGACGTGCTGATGTGTTAGATACACTTGACAGTCGCATTTTAATTGAAACGCAGCTGCTCAAATTTAGCAAGTCTATGCAACTACCATATGAGAATTCACAAAGGACAAGAAAATGAGCACTCTCACTCATTCCCATTCAGCAAATATGAATATCCACCGTGTACTGTTTATTAAAAAGCAAATCAGAAGAACAGTGGAAGCTAGAACACTGTATAATGTACTTTCCTACTGAGAAAATTTTGAGAAAAATCAGGCAAAAGCATATGGCAAACACTTAGAAGAGAAGGAGCAACTGGCACATTTAGAGAGATGGTATATTATTATAGAAAATGCCAATCTTCATTTACTCCACAAACACACACACAGCATCAGCTGAGTGTCACAGACTGCACTATGCTAAAAACTCTGAGAACAAGACACCCAAATGACGGCCTTGTGCTGAGACTGTCCAGCAAGGAGCTAGATAACGACAAAACATTTCCCGCGGGCACAGAGAGTGGCAAGAGCTGCTCTGGGAGCATCACGAATGGAGGTAGGCCAATGCGACCTGGAGACATGCAGGGGATGGGCTGGGTGAGCTCCCAGAGGACACAGGGCCCGGAAGGGCAGGAGAGGTTAGGAGAGGGGCAGAGGTGAGAGGGACTAGGCACAGGGTTCACAGTGCACGAAGCACCCAGCCTGCCTGCTGCCTGGGGGAGCCCGTGGAGAGGGAAGTAACTCATAGCAAGCACAGGGAGTACTGCTGGCCCTCTGCATCTGTGGCCTCTGCATCTGTGGCCTCCACAACAGTGGCTTCTGCATCTGTGGATTCAACCAACCATGAATGGAAAATATTCCGGGGTGGGGGACCCAGATGGCTGCATCTGTACTGAGCATATACAAACTTTCTTCCTTGTCATGACTCCCTAAATGATACAGTTTAACAACTATTCACAAAGCACGGGCATTGTATTAGGTGTTATAAGTAATCTAGAAATGATTTAAAGCATACAGGAGGATGTGCATAGGTTACATGCGAATATGACACCATTTCACACTGGGAACTTGAGCATCCGTGGAATCTGGTACCTGTGGGGATGCTACCTTGTCTGAGAAGTCTGGGGTTAGCCTCAGGGAGAATGAGCCTCCTCGAAGGTTTTTCAGCAGGGGATTGACAGGATCCAATTTATATTTTAGAAGGATGAGCTTTTCAAAAAGGCAGAGGTTGAGTCCAGCTGGAGAGGGGCTGTGAGGTGGAGCATTGGGGCAGTGGGCAGAGTGCCAGGGCAGAGGTGGGCACAGCACAGCTTCCCCGGTTTTACTATCATGAGAAGATGTTGTAAGAATTTTAAGTAAGATACTGATAGAACCTGCCTTAAACTTTAAAAGGATGTACTTTGAGGGTATGAACTGAATGTGGTTTGGGCACAGAAAGTGTGTGCACAGAAAAGTGTGTGCACAGAAAAGCACATGAGGAATAAGGGCTGGCATGACTGCCATGACTGTGAGCTCAGGAAATTCAATAACTGTGGTCACATTAAGTAACTGTGGCTAATTTAATGATCCCAGTTTTTAGTTTACACTTTTGGCATCACTATACGTGAACACTATACAATAAAAACCAAAGGTGTTTAAACAGTAAACAATTTTATCATCGTTTAGTATAAGTGCCATACAATAAAAACAAAAGGAGGTTAAAGTGATTGGTTAAAACAATGAAGTTACCAAACCTGTTAACAACTCACTGGTGCTTTGTTATATCTGCATATGTACACCCATGAAGAACCCGTGTCCGATACCAGCATGACCACTTCTACATAAACTACTTCTCTACAAAAGTGCCAACAGGCAGCTTGGTTTTAGGTATTCCACGTTATTTCATACAAAGAAACAACTATTTGATCAATCAAAAGTTTACTTGATTCAGAAAGCAATAGTTATTTTAAAAATATATATTTTGAAGTGATTCAAGTGACTTTCATTTGAAATCACAAAGATAATACTTGAACTGTGTCATTCATCCTTCTGTGGCTCAATTCTCTTTGCTAAATTACTATAATAATCTTACTCCTACACACTTTTCTCCTATCCTTCGCCTTTACAGCATCACTAATCAGGTCTTACATAGAAGTGACCAGATTTCTTTAATACATTTTTTGATGATGTACACAAGGTCATTGCATGCCACTGTCACTCACAATCACTCTATTGTATCTATGTGAGAAGATCACAGGAAGCAGGAATGCATTACTAAAACGATCAATTATTACAAGTTATCATTAATTATTCTCTAGAATTTAAGAACAGCTTTAAGCCACTAATAATACAAAGTGTCCAATTTCCAAACTATCCAAGAAATGGGTTTAAGCAAACAAAAAGTTAAAATCAAATTAATCTCTCACTCTCAGTAGATATGAGAAAAATGAGAATAAAATGAAAAGAATTCAAGCAAGTATCAATTGATAAAAGTATATCCACATCTATTACTCAAGAAACTTTATTACTTACCTGTTGGAGGCAGGCAGTCCTTCCAATCAAAATATCCTGCATAAATTCCAGGTTCTAAGGAGCCAACGATGGGATCTGCTTTCAACTCGATGTAATTTTCAAAGAGTCTTTGATCTAGTTCTTTCAATGAGGCCATGCTAACCTATAAACACATAATGAAGAGTATGAGTTGCCTATTTGAGGGTGATGGAAAAAGTAAAATAATGTTAACAATAAATACTTCAGACTATAATAAAAGCACTTCTCAATTTTCCTACAAAAACTCGTGACTTTTATATATTTTCAGTAACAAAGATCTCTTTTAGCATAGCTATTTTGCAGGAGAAAAAATAATCTCCATATATGGACTACAGGTCATTGTATTAGTCCGTTCTCATACTGCTATAAAGAACTGCCCAAGATTAGGTAATTTATAAAAGAAAGAAGTTTAATTGACTCAATTATGTTATGCATGGCTGGGGAGCCCTCAGGAAACTTACAGTCTTGGTGGAAGGCAAAGGGGAAGCAAGGCATCTTCTTCACAAGAAGAAGGAGAAGGTGGCCAGAAGGAGAAGTACCCAGTGGAAGGGGAAGAGAGCCCCTTATAAAACCATTAGATCCCATTAGAACTTACTATCATGAGAAGAGCATGGGGGAAACGGCCACTACGATTCAATGACCTCCACCTGGTCTCTCCCTTGACACGTGGGGATTATGGGGATTACAAATCAAGAGGAGATTTGGGTAGGGACAGAAAGCCTAACCATATCATTCATTTTTGAAAATACTAACCACTCATTTCTGTACACAGAGCAAGAGGCATTATAAATACTAAATTGTAATAGCCAGTAAACTACAATTAAAAAGGAACCATTTAAAATCATGTTCTGTTTCTTCATATTAACTAATTCATTTGAAAAGTGTGACCAATAGAAAATAAGCCTGCTCTGACACTCCAGTAACCCCAGTGTGGCTCCCCTGGATTCTCCCTCCAGTTACAGCTCTGCTTGAGGGGCGTGCAGGTCAGGCCTTCGAGTCTAAGGCAACTCCACAGGGAGGCCAGACACACGCTCGCTGTCATGGGCAAAAAGGAACAGGAAAGACCCCTATCAGTAAGTCCTGTCCTTGGCACAGTTCAGCTGCATGGACTGTGGGGGCTCCCGATGGGAGTGGGAGCAGAAGAGGGTAAGGAGGCTGGCATCAGCCCTACGTGAGTGTGCCTTGTCTCACCAGCAGGCAGGAGGCCAGAAGAAGAAGAGGGGGGAGGCAGAGACCCAAGCATGGAGGATATGGGAAGTCTGGGGTGTGGAGAGTCTGTGGGCCCAGGTCACCCTGCAGGGGGCTGGTGGCCGTTCTGCTTCTGCAGCACTGGCCTGAGAGGGATAGGCTTCTCTCCAATGCCAGGCCTGAGCTGCAACGAACTACAGTGAAAAATAAACACACGTCTAAGGGAGTCCGCTGCTATGCACAGGCACATCCACCAAGCAGTGAAACTCAGCTGCAGAAGAGACAAGCAACAACTTGAACAGAAAAAAGAAAGAAAACCCTCATGACGATTAAAGTATAATACAAAACAAGATTTCCAGAGGTGAAACATACAACTTCCAAAGCTAACAAATGAGTAGATTAACACAAGGAACTCCTGGTCACTGTTGAGACTGATCTGAAGTGCAAGAACTACTTCAAAACATAGAGTAAAAGTGTAAAGACATGAAAACTATGAACAACAAGACTAGAAGATAAACCCAGGAGCTCTAACATGCAAAAAATAGAAATTCAAGTAAAGAAATACAAGCAGATAGAGAAAAGGTATTCATTAAACAAGCAGTAGGAGAAAATTTAACTGGATCTAAAGAAAGACCCAAGTTTGCAACTTGAGTAGGCTTGCAGAGTGCCAGGCTAGACTGGTAAGACAGCCCACATATCTAGGCAACTACTGTTAAAGTTTCTAGTTTCTAATACATTTACTCTAAATGAGAGAGAGACAGAGAGAGAGAGAGAGAGAGAGACAGAGACAGACTGACTTTCAAGCTTCTAGATCAAAACAATAATTTACTTACAAAGAAGAAAGAACTGGTCTGACGTCAGATTTCTCACATGCAGTACTGGGAGCTGAAATCACTGGATTAAAATCTACAGGAATGAAAGAACAGAACCCAAGAATCCTGTATTTAGCCAGCGTGTCATTCTCTTAACAGAGTCCGAGAAAGATATTTTTGGATATGCAAGGGTTCAAGGAGTATTTCACCCATGTAATGAGAAAGGGCTCTAACCTAAAATCAAACACATCAGAACGAAGAAGATGAACTACTGAGGAAAACAGTGACAGGCAATAACTCTGAGTTCCCTCTCGCCCTTCTTTATCTCTCTCTTTCTCTAGTATCTATAAACACAAACCGAAATAGATGATTAGAGACTCCCTGGACATGTGAAATACAAGTGTGAAGTAAGATTTCTTCAAAGGAAGGAGGCATCCAAAAGGGAAATACTAATAACACACAATGAAGAGATAACATATCAAAATCTGCAAGAGAGAACCAGTGGCTAGAAATTTATAGCTGAAAATGTTTTAAAAGAAAAGTTTAAAAGGAGAAAAACTTAAATCACTGCTCTAATTTTCTGCCCCAAGTATCTAGAAAAAGAGAAAATTAAACCCAAAGAAAATAGAAGGAAAAGATAAAGAACAGAAATCAATATCTTAAAAAGGTAAATATTAAAGAAAACCACCAATGCCAAAAGTAGGATCTTTGGAAATAATAATAAAAATGATTAGCCAGGCATGGTGGTGCGCATCTGTGGTCCCAGCTACTTGGGGGCTATGGTGAGAGAATGACTTTAGCCCAGGAGATCGAGGCTGCAGCGTGGTATGATTCAACTACCGTACTCCAATCTAGGTAACAGAGCAAGACCCTGTCTCTTAAAAAATTTGAAATTTTTTAAAAATTAAAAAGGAATAACAACAGAAACGATAAGCTCCTGGGCAAGACTGATGAAGAAATAAAGAAAAAAACCCACATATTGCCAAGAACAGAAATGAAAAAAGAAACATTCCTATAGATCCTGAAGACATTAAAAGGATAGTAAAAGGACATTACAGTTTTATGCCATCAAGTCTTGACAACATAGAGGAAATTGCTAATCTGCTGAAAAACACAACCTTCAAAAACTGGCACAAGTAGTCCTATATTTATTAAACTAATTGAATCCATTATAGACAAGGACTTGACAATGAGAACTTCAGGTCCAGGTGGTTTCATTTGTGACTCTACCAAGCATGTAAGGAAGAAATTATAGCACACACAAACATTTTCATAGAATAGAGGCTGAAAGCATTTCCTATTTTGTTTAATGAAGCCAGTATAACCCTAATATCCAAACTGAGCAAGATATTGTAAGAAAAAAATCACACGCCAATAGCCTTCATGAACAAAGACATAAAAACCCAAACAAACTATTGGCAAATAGAAACTATAAATAAATTTTAAAAACATATCATGCAGAAGTGGTATTTTTTCAACAGATGAAAAAGCACTTGAGAAAATTCAATATACTTTCATGACAAAAATTCTCAGTAAACTAAGACTAGAAAGAAAATCAGCTGTGTAAAGGGCATCTACAAAATGGTACAAATATAGAGTGCTTTCTCCAGAAGATCAGGAATAAGGCAAAGTTGTCCCCTTTCACCACTATTTCAAGATTATACCAGAGGTCCTAGTCCATGAGATCTGGCAAGAAATAATACCAAAAAAGAAGAAGTAAAACTGTTTTTATTAACAGAAGACATCATTACGTATTTAGAAATTCTAAGCAGGTTGACATACTAATGGAATAAGTAAATTTATGGAGGCAGCAGAGTCAATAACAAAAATCAATTATATTTCTATATAATAGACATCGAAGGATTATAATACAATACCATAAAAAATAAAATACCTAGGAATAAACTTAACAAAAGACATGGAAAATCTCTAATGGAAACTACAAAACACTGCTGAAAGAAATTAAAGATGGCCTAAACAAATAAATAGGATCATCAATATTGGTAATTTTCTCCAAATTCAATGAACCCCTAAAAGGCCTTTTCTTGGTAAAAATTCACAGGCTAAAATTTATATATAAATGGAAAGGACCTAAAATAGCCCAAACAATTTAAAAAGAACAAAGTTGGAAGACTCATACTACTTGATATCAAGACTGACTATAAACCTATAATAAATAAAACAATGCAATATTGGCATAAGGATAGACATCATAGACCTAAACATAAAAGTTAACATTACAAAACTTCTGGGAAAAAATATTCAGGACATTGAAGCAGGTAAAGATTCTGACAACATATGAAAGGCATTAAACATTTTAAAAGCTTGATACAATGGATCTCATCAAAATTAAACAATTCTGTTCAAAAGATATTATAAAAACAAAACAGCAAGCCATGAACTGAAAAAATATGTATGCATGACAAAGGACTTATTTAGAGCCTTCTAAAAATCGTCAATAGAAAGATGACTGATCCAATTTAAAAATGAGCTGGGGTTAAACAGCACTTCAAGAAAGAAGCTACCTGAATGTATCTGAATATACAAGAAAAGGTGCTTAACATCATTGTTAGGGAAAACCAAATAAAGCAACAATGAGACTGGCTGAAATAAACAAGATTGGTAATATTAAGTGTTGGCTAGGATGCAGTTTATAACCGAGTTTATGACCGACGGAGCGTACACTTGAGTTGACGACCGACGGAGCGTACACTCGAGATGACGACCGACGGAGCGCACACACGAGATGACGGCCGACGGAGGGCACACACGAGATGACGGCCGACGGAGCGTACACTCGAGTTGACAGCCGACGGAGCGCACACACGAGATGACGGCCGACGGAGCGTACACTCGAGTTGACGGCCGACGGAGCGCACACTCGAGTTGATGGCCGACGGAGCGTACACTCGAGTTCATGACCGACGGAGCGTACACATGAGGTGACGGCCGACGGAGCGTACACTCGAGTTGATGGCCGACGGAGCGTACACTCAAGATGATGACCGACGGAGCGTACACTCGAGTTGATGACCGATGGAGTGTACACTCTGGAAAACTACTCAGAGTTCCTAATCAGCTTGTGCCACGACCAGCTATTGTACTTCAAGGTTTATATCCAAGATCAGTGAGTACAAACATCCACAAAGAGACTTACAGGAATATTCACCACAACTTTATCCATAAAGGCCTAAAACTGGAGACAACCCCATGTCCATCACCATGAGAATGATTAAACAAAATCTGGTTATCCAAACTCAGCAATAAAAGAAAATGACTCACTGGTACACACAACTGGATGAATCTCAAAAAATTAATTTGGAGCAAAAGAAGCCAGATACAAAAGACAACAAACTGCATGGAACTCCACGTAAAGTTCTGGGACAGGCAAAATGATTCTCTGCAGATAGCAGCTGGAACGTTGCTGAGAAGGGAGCCTACTCAAACAGGGCACAAGGGAAGGTTTTGTATTTTCATCTGGTGGTGGATGCTGGAACGTGTGCATATGTAAAAAGCCATCAATCCATAAGCTTAAGATTTGTGTCTTTTACTGTAGGTAAATTACACCTCATTTTTTAAAAAAAGAAGGGAAAAGAGGAGTTGAAAATAAATAGATGTGCAAACAGTTAATAGGCAAATGCTACAAAAAGAGAGTAGAATGGCAGTATTAATGTGTGATGAGGCAGGATCAATGTCAGGAGTACACAGCTCATACTTTTTGTTGTAAGGATTTAAACAGATAATTCAGGAAACTTGCATAGCACACTGAAAGCAAATACATAATAAATGCTAGCAGCTATTTCTATTAACTCAACAGCCTCATTTTCACTAACACCCTGTTCACACTGGCTGCTGAACATAGAAAACTGGGTCTGCTTGATTCCTGCTCAAAAAGCAAGGGTCAGATCCATCTACCATTAATCGCTATCTGAGAGTGAGGAAGAAAGATTAACTTTAAAAACATCCTGACACTAAGGAAATCAGTCTTATAAAGTGATGTGTTTAAGGAATGCAGTGGTTAAACAGAGACGGAGCGCTAAAGGGTCACTGATGGGGGTGAGAAAGGCAGCAGAGTAGACATGCCTGAGGGTCCAGTGGCCTTTTAGGGCAGGTGTCTCTAACAAAAACACAGTGCCTCCTTTAAAAAAGATAACAATTTAATTGTGTACAGACAGTCCCAACTTATGAGAGTTCAACTCATGATTTTCCCACTTTACCAGGGTGTAAAAGCAATGCGCATTCAGTATGTTCCCTGGCTTATGATGTGCTACGTCAGGTTAAACCCACTGTAAGTAGAAAATATCTGGCCGGGCACAGTGGCTCACGCCTATAATCCTAGCACGCTGGGAGGCTGAGGCGGGTGGATCACGGGGTCAGGAGTTCAAGACCAGCCTGGCCAAGATGGTGAAACCCTGTCTCTACTAAAAATACGAAAATTAGCCGGCTGTGGTGACAGGTGCCTGTAATCCCAGCTACTAGGGAGGTTGAGGCAGGAATTGCTTGAACCCGGGAGGCGGAGGTTGCAGTGAGCCAAGATCACACCACTGCACTACAGCCTGGGTGACAGAGCAAGACTCTGTCTGAAGAAAAAAAAAAAAAAGAAAATATCATAAGTAGAAAATGCGCTTACGATATTTTCAATTTTGGAAGGGTTTATCTGGAGGTAGCCCCATCATAAGTTCAGGAATATCTGTATTCAGAAATAGACTTACTCACTGAATTCGTACATATTAGCACTGAGGAGGGTCTTTCGAAGCATTAAAAAACTGTGGGTAATAACTTACAGAAGTAAAAGGCGTATGCTGGAGGCAGAATTCTGGTGTAATGGACAATACTCCCAATAAGCCAGCGCCCTGCCACCTTAGCAGCAATCATGTATATACTCAACAACATTTCCATCTCACGCACCGGCACTGATGCCAGCCAGTGCTCCCAATAAGCCACCGCCCTGCCTTTCTTAGCAGCAATCACGTACACTCAACAACATTTCCATCTCACGCACCAGGCACTGATGCCAGCCAGTGCTCCCAATGGACAGTCCTGGAGAAGAGATGCCTAAGTCGATTGTCAAATTTCTCTAACTTCTTTACTGTTGTCTTCAACACAGTCACAATGGTTTAAAAGATAACATCATTATTTTGATGTATTTTAATGTTTCCAATTTAAAATTTCCAATTTGTGATTTTAAAAACTTTTTGATAATAATGTTTTTTAAAAATTATGCTTCCAAGAAAGAAAATAAACAACAAACAATTATTTTCATTCCAATTTGGCCATCTGTATAGAAATAAGGTCATCAAACTATCATTAGAACATCTATCCAAGTGACTCTGGATAACTAGGTTCAGACAAATTAATTTTTTTTAGCTCTTTTCAAATGGATGGCAGGACAGGTGGCAAACTGACATTCCTTTATATTACTGAACCACAACTTGTCAAATGGGGGCAAAATAAATGCCAAGTAAATAACTAATTTTAAAAAACCTCTTAATTCCTAGGAGAAGTATTAACACAAAAAAGAAAACTACAGATGAAACAGGATATACTGTCACCTGAAACAGAAGGACAGCCTGTGTCTCCAGGACTTGTTAGCGAGGGCTTCCAAGCCACACATGCGCACACCATGCCCAGCTAATTTTTTTATTTTTAGTAGAGATGGGGTTTCACCATGTTGGCCAGGCTCGTCTTGAACTCCTCACCTTAGGTGATCCACCCACCTCAGCCTCCCAGAGTGCAGGGATTACAGGCAGGAGCCACCACACCCAGCCAGGAATTTTTAATAATCAAGTTAGTCACCTCACATCCTATATATTAGGCTTCAATTGTTTGCTCCACTGTTCTCAATAGGATAATCTTATCCTTGACGATTTGATTTTCTATCTATACAGAATAATCGGAAAGACACTGGAAAGAACTTTACTGCTACCACTATCTCCTTCCCTGATTTCTGAATTATACCATTCCAGAGTAAGTTAATAATTTCCCCTTACTTAGTAACAAAAAACAAAGTTTCTGGAGAAGAAACACAACTGAAATAACATTTCAATACACAGTAAATTTCAGCAAGATTAGACACAACTGAAGAAACAAGGAACAAAAAGAGAGAGCTGAGGAGATTACCCCAATCAGTACAGACAATTAAAGATGAGGAGAATAAAAAAGAAAAAAATTAAGAGATGTGAAGAATAGAGTGAGAAGGTCTAACATACACCCAATAGGAGATCTTAAAGGACAGAAAAGTTTGAATGGAGAAGAAAAAATATTTGAAGAGATAATGGCTTAGAACTTTCCAGAATTGATTAAAGACATCAACCAGAGCCAAGGGAACAAACAGGCCAAAAAACATAATAATACCAAGACACATAATAAAAATACAGAACAGAAGAGGCAAATAAAGTATCTAAAAAGGAGCCAAGGAAAAACCTTACTACATTTTTCTCAGTAATCAAGAGATCAAAGTCCAAACCAAACAAACAAAAGGACTGAACAACATAATCCACAAACCCGATGTAATAGACATCTGTGGAATGTGGTATCCAAAACGTAAGGACACGATCTTTTCAACCGAGGTAGGGTTTCAGAAAACTGTCCACATATGAGCTTACAAAGCAAGCCTCAGCAAACCTAAAAACATGATATTCTCTGACCTCAGAACAATGATGTTAGAAATCTCTAACAAAGAGAAAACTAATTCCAACTGCTCCTCTGCTCCCTTAGCTTGGAAATTTAAAATCATACTTCTAGCCAAGACTAAAATAGAATATTAAAATTCAAAACTAAAAAAAATGAAGAATAACTAAAATACCACTTGCGAAAACATGGGAAACACAGCTAAAAAGACACTTAGAGGGAAATTCACAGCCTTAAATGTTCATATTAAAAGACAGAAAGGTTTAGAATTAATGAACTATGTAAATAAACAAGATTAGAGTCCAAATTACTGCAAGAGAAAGCAAGGATATAACGAGAGAGCACTACTAAAGTCAAAAGTTATTCTCTGAAAAAGACTCTGGCAAGAAACAAAGAATAAAAATACAAACAAGCGATAGTAAGTACAAAAAATGACCATATCGCAGCTGAGGTTGAAGGAATAAAAATACAAACAAGCGATAGTAAGTACAAATAAGGACCACATCGCAGCTGAGGTTGAAGTAATAAAACTGTTATAAAACAATTTTACGCCAACAGATTTGAAAATTTAAGCAAAATGGGCAAAGTCCTAGAAAAATATAGATGACTACGATTAACATGAAGAAATAAAAAGCTGGATGGTTCTATAACCATTAAAGAAATTGGGCCAGTCATTAGCAATCATCTCACAAAGAAAATCTGGGCATACGGAAAATACCACTACCAGAGCGTTTTTCTAAATATTCAAAGAATAAATAATTCCAATCTTATGCAAACTCTTTCAAAGAAGAAAAAGGAATATATTCTTTAATTCATGTTACAAACGAGCATGACCTACATGCTACAACATGGATACATCTCAAAATAATACTGAGTGGGAAAACAAAGTCACAGAAAAACACACACCATATAATCTTATTTATGCTAATGTAAAAGTCAAAAAAGGTAATTTCAAACAAAATATTGTTTAGAAACCACACAATTCAGAAGTAGTTCTCTATAGGAGAAGGTGGGTGGCATGGCTGTGCAGGGGCACAAGTGGACATAAGGCCTCTGGGATGCTTTGTTCCTTCAGCTTGGTGGTGTGGGAGCACCTGGGTTCATTTTATCACTCTCTTACATCCTACATTATGCGATATCTATTCTATTATATGGATAAAATATTTAACATAAAAACATTTAAAAAGAATGTACATCTAGAAAAGAAGTGCATCTCCATTAAACTAATCATAATGCAATGTGTGACATGCTGTTCTAGTGCCGAGAACAAGGCATCAAAGGAGAAAGAGGACGGTACGGTGCACCTTGCACTTCGGGAATGGAGGAGGAGAGGCCCTACAGGCTTAACAAAGGATGAGACATCTGCATCTCAAGTGGGCTTTGGTGGACGATCAAGATTTTGTGAAGTCCGGATTGACTGAGGAAAAGGCAGTCCTAGAAAAATACAGATGACTACAACTAACAGGAAGAAATAAAAAAGCTGAATGGTTCTATAACCACTTAAGAAATTGGACCAGTCATTAACCATCACCTCATAAAGAAAATACTGGGCCTAGAGAGTACAACACAAGCTACAGATAAATGTTCCTACAACAGAGCACCGTAGTAAGCTGGCATTGAATGTGTACTTATTGAATGAGTGAATGAACAGAGAAAGTATATGAAATGTTCAAGTAAAGATGAGCAGGTGCCCAGGCTGAATGATAAGGTGTTGGAGTAGGGGGACAAAAAGCCATGAGAGAAAGAGGCAAGAGAGCCAGATGAAAATCCTACACAAACGCCAGCCTACGGAGCTTAGCTCTTCAGGCAGTACGGAGTCCTGAAACACAGGAGGAGGAAGAACAAGAGGAGCTCTGGGTTTTTGAAAGCCCATCCTGGACACTCTGGATGATAAGCTGGAGAGTGGAAACGTTTAGACATTAAGCAAAGCAACCGCTAGGAAGGTTCCTACAACACCACGGCTGTCGGATGATGCAAAAGGGCTAAGCTTGGACAGGAACAGCAAATTAGAGAGGTAGAGAAGGATTTGGAAGATGGTTCAGGGGTTGAGTTGAGAAGAAAGACTTGGCAAAAACCATCATGAGGAATGATGTCAAGAATAATTCCCAGTAATGGATGAATGAATTTTAAAATGTGGTGCATATACACAATAGAATACTACACAGCCTTAAAGAAGAAGGAAATTCTGTCATCTGCAACATGGATGGTACTGGAGGACCTTATGCTAAATGAAATAAACCAGGCACGGAAAGACAAATACTGTGATCTCACTTATATGTGGAATCTACAAAAGTCATTATCATAGAAACAGAGAGTAGAATGGTAGTTACCGGGGGCTGAGGGCAGAGTGAGGCCAGGAAAGGGGAGGTGTTGATCAAAGGGCATGGCATGGTAACCACAGTTAATAATAATGTATTGTGTATTTCAAAAGTGTTAAAAGATTTTTAATGTCCTCAACAAAGGTAAGTTGGTGAGGTGATGAATATGTTAATTAGTTCGACTGACTTTTCTATAATGTATGCTTAGGTTGAACATCACATTGTGCACCATAAATATGCATAATTATTATTTGTCAATTAAAAATGAATAAATAAAACAGAAAAAAAGGAGCCATTCCCAAGCTGTGGCTCAGTGATCCACAGTGGCTACTGACTAAGTCAGGGAACACATAAAAGAGAAGCTGTTTTGAAGGAGGAAGATGACTGGTTAGGCCAGGTTGCTTTGAAATCTCGATGGAAACTTCCAGGGAGGACGTCTGGTAGGAAACAGATCGAAGGTATCAGAATGACATGCAGGTCAAAAATAAAGAATCTGGGAATCATGGGCATCCGTCAGTGATGGGTGAAGCTGTGGAGGCAGATGAGGTCGTCTACAGAAACTGCTGAGTATGAAGAGGAAGCAGACAAATCAAATGCTCAGAGAACAGAAATACAGGGGATGGTACCACAATTATCTACATTTTGTTGGCTTGGGTTCAAAGTTTTTGGCTTAGGAATGCCACACCCTACCCAACTGGAGAACCAGCTGTTTTACTCCTTATTTCCTGCACTTCCCAGCTTTCCAAAGAGATGTGGTGCCTTTCCTCCGCTCTCTGAAACAGCATCTGGAATGTGAAATCTTATGTTCTTTCTTGCTTTGTGAAACCTTTTCTCAGGTACTTTCTGTATTGGGGAGGTAGCACTTTGTAAATGACAAGGTCTCTGAGTCCTTCTGATGGGGTATCTCTCTAAGTATGTATGTTTATTCTTTCCCTTCCTGTTTGAACAAGAAACTCAAGGCAGCCAAATAGGGTCAAAAATTAGGATCAGTGTTTTGAAAGCAGAAACACATCTGATCAACTTATAATTTCTGTCTGTAAGATCTTAAACTCTGAAACAGATTAAGTTACAACTTATTTATTATATAAAATAGCCTGTAAACAAAATTTAGCTGATTTTGTTTATACGTATAACACAAGGAAAATGAAACACATATATATAGAGATAATACAGCAGTGAAGACACAAAACTGTACTCACTCACATCTAGGTATTCAAATGGTTTCCAACTTGAAATTTAGTGATATTCAAATAAGCTACAATAATCAAACATGTAAAATACAGTACATGCAGTTAAAGCAACGCAAAACTCTAGAATCAGCTGCTCAGCATAAAGGAACTTCCCTGGACATATAAGAAAAAGGAGCTGCCCCTCCACACCTTTCACGCCGGAGTTTCTCAAAGAGATTTACAGGCTTAAAATAAAACTTCAGGCCGGGCGCGGTGGCTCACGCCTGTAATCCCAGCACTTTGGGAGGCCGAGGCGGGTGGATCATGAGGTCAGGAGATCGAGACCATCCTGGCTAACAAGGTGAAACCCCGTCTCTACTAAAAATACAAAAAATTAGCCGGGCGCAGTGGCGGGTGCCTGTAGTCCCAGCTACTCGGGAGGCTGAGGCAGGAGAATGGCGTGAACCCGGGAAGCGGAGCTTGCAGTGAGCCGAGATTGCGCCACTGCAGTCCGCAGTCCGGCCTGGGCGACAGAGCGAGACTCCGTCTCAAAAAAAAAAAAAAAAAAAAAAAAACTTCAATTAAAAATTTAATGCCAGCCATGTTTAATGTCTACAGGCTTCGTCAGGTGAAAATCTGGAAGTATACAAATTCTGAATTAGATGCTTATTTTTAAAGACTGGGACAGATTAAAAAAGTATTTTATATATGTAAAAGCACTCCCTGGAATTATGTAATTATACCTACCACAATAAAATTATACGCTGAAGTTTATTAACCATACAACTCTGGTTTTCCTTTCTCAAAGGTATGAAAGAATTTGGTTGGTGGCAAATTTGGTTTGCACACTTAAATTGCAACTTATTTGCAACATGTATCTTAACTCTCTAAGAGCCTTCAAAATTAGTTCTTCTAGAATATAAACAGTCAATAACAGAAGAAAAAGCGCTAACCTCCTAAATAGAAAAAGGCATGCAAATTAAAATACAATGAAAGCCTATTTTAACCTATCGAATTAAACATCGTAATTAAAAAGATGACAGAAATGTGATGAGATCAGCTTCCAAAAAGCTATCTGGCAATATTTACCAAGTACCTCTGGGGCTGTGAATCTACTTCAGGATTCTATCGTGAGGAAGTAATTAGACATGTGATCAAAGATTATCTTCACTTCTCAGTAACAACAACAAAAATTAAAAATAACCTTAAGGTTACTAGTATGGGAGAGGTTAAAAATACTACGTATACCCACATTAACAAATGTTATAAAGCCATAAGACACATTTTACAAAAATATTAAATAAAAATGGAAAAGTACTCATGATAGAATATATTCAGTAGAAAAATACAATGTCAAATGAATTCAGAAAAATGTTTCTTTTTTTCTCAAATTCCTTTTCACCATGTTTCATATTTTTATAACATATAGATAGGATATATAAAGTCATGGTTACTATAAATATTAAAATCGTAGTGTCTACCTTTGGTTGGTGCATTATAGATTATTTTAATTTTTATTTTTTTTTAGACTTCCCAATATTTTTTCTTTTTAAGAATAACGGTTGGATCTTACTTTTATAAGTTGAAAAAAAAATGCATGACTGGAAAAAGACATCTCCAGGACTTGAGCAAAAGCTAAATGGTACAGGCAATACTAATGAAAATGCATGCACATGGCAGGACGCTCCCTGTTGGCACATACTTCTGGATTCAGACAGCACCGAGTCCACCAAAGGTTTATAACGGGGCTTATTTTTAAGGAGGAACAATGTAGAAGAAGATGATTTGGATACCCTGATCTCATGAATTATCATTCAATGTGGTTTCATAAAGGCCAAAACAATGTACACTAATCAACCAGCTTCAGGTCCTATTTTCATTTCTTTGGTGTGCAGGTGACCCTTGAACACCACGGGTCTGAACTATGTGGGTCCACTTATACACGCATTTTCTTCTGCCTCCGCCACCCCTGACACAGCAAGACCAACCCCTCCTCTTGCTCTTCCTCAGCCTAGTCCACATGAAGATGAGGAGGATGAAGACCTTCATAATAATTATTCACTTCCACTTTATGAATAGTGTTAATATATTTTGTCTTCCTAATAATTGTCTTAACATTCTCTTTTCTCCAGCTTACTATATTACAGGAATACAGTATGCAATAGATAAACAAAATACATGCTGATAGGCTGTTTTATTCATAAGGCTTCCAGCCAACAGGAGGCTACTAGTAGTTAGGTTTTAGGGTGGTCAAAAGTTACACTTAGATTTTCGACTGCACAGGGGGTTGGCACCCCAACCTCTGAGTTGTTTAAGGGTCAACTGTATTATCATGAGACCAGTTTTATTCTTTAAGATGCATGGTGCTGGACCAGAAAGCATTCCGGATTTAGAATGAGAAAATGTAATTTTGAGTCCTGCCTTGCTGTGCTCTTACAGGTCAAGTCCTTGACCTCTCTGGGTATCTTTCCCTATGAAGATTATGGAGCTGATGATACCATTCCTGATTTCATGCACCAAATAAAAGTGTATGTATAAAATCATTCTAGCTTCAAATGTCACTGATCATTACATTTTAATAATCCCCTAAAAACATTTATTTGTCTCCTGTTCCTATATTAAGACTAATTTATCTCCATGTTTCAAGGTGAGGAACAGGTGAAGGGAATGAAAAACTGGCCGTTTAATGCCTTTCCTGGCGTAAGTACCAGTAAGAAAGCAGGAGGAAATATCCCCGGAGGAAACACTTGGCCTGCCCTGGCTCACACCAGAGGAGTCTGAGAGAAGGTCTCACACCCAGTGACATGAGGTCCCCCTATGAGAGACCCTCATCTTCAAGTGCGGAAACAGAGAGGGAATGAATAAGCCATCCACTGTGACCTGTGCCCTGTGACTCTTCTGGGATCGATGCCCCTAGAATTATTTGTCTTTTGGAGGGAAAACTATGAAAAACAGTGGCAGAGTCAGCAGACCTTTCCCTTTGATGCCAGAAATAGACTTTACTTGGTTGGAATCATGAAATTAACAGATTCACAAATGAATAAAATCAGTGCAAATGTTATCATCTAAATCTAGTTTACTATCTATTCATTCTAAACACAACTGAATTTCAAAATATTCAAGACGGTCGATGAAAAAAAAATCCAAATTCTGAGTGGGAAAGAGCCTACCATTTATACTGCTAAATCTCCAGATCCTTTGTATTATCTTGGTCTCAAAATGATCTGGACAAAGACAAGGAAGGATATGAAAAAATCTTTTTAAGAATTAATTTAATTCTACTTCTTAGTGATATAAAGTGAAGCAACAGTTCCTACTTAGTACTGCAAAAAACCTAGAGAAAACCAAACTTGCTTCTTTTACATGCAATTCCTAATCATTTCACATATTTTAAAATGATAAATAACATTTCTCCAATAAATATATTCATGTCATTGTTGTTATATAAAAACAAAGCAACCACCTTCTACAAATAGCCACTTTTTTACTGCAAGATAGCACCTTGCAATTCTTAACACAAAAATTTCTGGAAATAAACTAGACATTTGGCCCCAAAGGCTTAAGTCACGACATTTCTCATCAGGATGATTAATCTTTACAAAAAGGCAGGAAAACAAGACAGGGCCGCCCACTTTGACATTTTCACTCTTTGAAAAAAAAATCCCAATGTAGTTCACGAACTGGAACCACCATTTATAAAAAGTAGGTAACCCTGAGTGCGTGTTGATTATAAGATTAACCAGATCATTATCGTTCTCATTCTTTGCATTGAGAAAACTGTACTGACATTAAAAAGTGGTACTAGCATAGTTTTACTGAGAAATCTGATAAACCTTTGCCCAGGAACCAATCAACCTTAATAACAAGGTTACTTCATTTTTTCCTTTTCTGCTTAGTTGAAAAAAATATAAACAACAAAGTGTAACATTAAAAAGAAAACTCACTCCATTAATTTCTACTGGACTCCCTTTTGCCCAATCTTTCTGCGTGCAGTGATTGGAGAGTGGGGAGGACATATTTTTCAGGTAGGATGCAGAGCATCCTGCAGCTGTTCTGAGCCAGCGGCTGTGTGTGCACGCGTGCATGCACAAAGCAGCAAAGCAAAAGCATCCTTGAGGTCATACAGAAAGGGAGAGAGGAAGGAGAGGTGTGAATACGCAGGAAGAGGTTTTTCTGCAGGCTCAGGGAGTTTGCTGCTGGCTGTATCTAAAGCGTTCACCTAAAAGGAGTCAAATATGAGATAATTCTGAAAGATCTGGGTTTGCTGCCTTTCCCTCCTCATTTTCTTCCCTCACTTTTGAACAGCTCAGGTGAGGAGTAAACCAGCTGTAACCTTGAGGGAGCTCTGCTCTAGAGAAAAGAAAAGGGTATTAAATTAACCATTCAAGGTGAACCATGGGAAGGAAGGGAATCATCCAAAGCTTTAGCAGGGTGAAGGCGGGGAAGCAGTGTGGCTGTGGGGGCGGCACGCAGAGGGAATGGGCACTGCTAGCAGAACACAGGCTAGGAAACAGCTTGAAAACTGAGCTGGTAAAACCACCGACTTGTGCGTTTTACATGAACTCGCTTACCTGTGTGATTTTTTCTATTCCCTGGAAGTTGTGCTTTTCAAAATGTTCTGCGATATTTAGGAAGGTGTGACGTTCTAGATAGCAGCAATTACTTAGGACTATCAAAAGGCGCTGTTCCTAAAAGCAAAACAAATGTTTAGAAAATCACCTTTATGGTGCCAGAGAGAATAGCTGATTAACACTTGTCAAGTTTAATTATAATCTCTGCTCTTTAACGTCAATATCCAATGCTTTGCTTTTCTTGGCTGCTTCTTTCCCAATATTATAACATAAAGAGAAACACAGTAAAATCCTGCAACTCTACTATTTGCTTATAATTACATGCAATATACTAAAGAATCAAATATTTCCTTTAAGACTTAACAGCTTGGATGGAAAAACAGATTGAGAAAATTCCATTAACTAGGATCAGCTGGGAACTGGGATCAGTGTTGCTTATGAAAAGTGTTCTACTATATTGTTTACTTAATACTTTGTATACAAGAAAAGGCTACAGGAATATTTTTAATAACTAATTACATTTAAAATGTAGAAACTATTATAAAGTAGTTTATAAATTTTTATAACCTGGAACAGAATTACACTGCCATATATCTGTATGATGGGCTCCTTTAAATACCTTAGGGCATTAAGAATTGCTTGTGTTTGCAGAAGAAAACAAGGAATAATCTCCCTCTAATGGGGAGTGAGGGTCACTGAGGGTGGAGGACTCCACCTTAGGACACGGTCAGTGTTGCCAAGAGGAAGGGGTACAAGCCAGTTACTTCTACATTCTCCAGGGTTCTGTCCACCTAAAGTAATTTCTTACGAAAACTACCAGACACAAATGCTGATAAACACAGTGTCCTTTCACAGTTCAAGACTACCTGGTAAATAAAATTCCAGGAATTGCCCTTTTGCTGCTGGTGCGGTTCACCGAGGCACCCAACCTGTGCTCCCGCAGGCAGGCGGGCCTTCTCTGGAACAACTTTGACTAATCTAGAGCCTTGAGTTAGATCCTTTGACTAAACCTTTGGCAAAAAACACTTTCCATCACATACTCTGCATGCTCTTTCTGTGCATAACCAGAATAACTTACAGGAAAGTAATTCGATATAGTCAATGTGGAAAGAGCTTCCTATTTTTTTGGATATGTGAAAAAAGATAACATCCTTGAATTTAGTCACCAAGAGTATTTTATATCTCCCAATAATTTCATTCAGCTCAGCAGTTTCCAAAAACTTTCTAGATTCTTTTATTTTGAATGTTCCCATCTTTATTTCTGGCAGAGTGTGTAGCCTATTCACTACCTGTTTCTAGTCATCAACAAACATAAGTAAAAGGCCTAGGGAGTATTAAAGGATCTTCAAACAAGCGAACGGCCTTGAGTTACTCTATGGCTAGGAAATGGGGTATAAGACAAGGTAAATAGGGTTGTATTATGTATGATACTCCTCCACGTTTCGTGAATAAACGGCCAGAAGGAAAACAGTGAATAAGCACTGGAAACTCGCCCAGGTGAGGGAGGGACGAGGACGCTACATTCCCCTCCAGTCCCCGGGCCTGGAGTCACCATGACGCAGTCCCTGTAAGGACAAGGAGTAAGTAAACCTCACATTTCATCAGCTGCCTTCAACATGCTGTTCGCCTCAAAAACCTCAGCTGGTTGCTCAGTTTTGAAAATCAATCCTTAGTTACTTTTTCCTTCCAGAGTCAAGTCTCCTTATCTAGCAGACCTGAGCCTGCCACATCTTCTCTGCCCTGTAAATTCTCTTTGTTTTTCTCACTGTAATTTGCATGACTCTTAAAAAACAGAAAAGCTATTTGAGTGATTTAAAGTCTTCCTCCTATAAGTACATTTGTTGCTCAAATGTAATCATTCAGATGCAATAAAAGTGGAAAGAAAAACTGAACAGCACAGACTCTGGACCGTGGATGACTAGTCAAAAGCTTATTAACAACTAAGATGGAGACGCACGTTTGAAAACAACGCCGCCCATCAAATGTAGCACGTGCAGGTGATGAATATGGTCTTAGATTATTTCAGTGATCCCCCACGTTCCGTTCAGGAGAACCCGCTCAGTGATGTGCCTGAGGTCACACAGGATGCGAACCAGTGTCTTCTGACTCCGAATCTAGATACCTTCCTTACCACAGCTGCTTCCCTTCTGGATAACAGAACAAGACCCTAAGAAGATCGCACCAAATCTGATGAGATAGCTTTCAATGGAGAATACAGAGGAACTGAATTTGGTCACAAAAAAACACTGGAGACTAAGGCAGGAGAGAGGAGGCCCTGCAACCTGCAGAGACACATGTGAGGTGCCTGGGGGGATAGCTGAGAATAGGCTCAATGTGAGTCAGCTGAGAGCTGCCGCGTCACAGGGAGTCCAGGGCTGACTCTTGTGCTCCACCCACTGGAAGAGGCACAAGAGCAGGACCACCCCAAGTGCAGGGACACAGCACACCAGGAGGGAGTGCCTGAGGATTCAGAGTGCCAGCAAGGGGAAGACTCCAGCAGTCTCCATTCGGGAGGCCCTCTCCTGCAGCCCTGTCTCCACAGGACTCCCCTAGCCTGCCGCATTTCCATGCTCCACAAGCCCCTCAGCCCTTGGGGCTGCTAAGCATTCCTTTGTTTAAATGGGATTTTCCATCCCTCTCAGGAGTGCTGCTCTATCTGGATTTCCTTCTGTCTCTCTGATTAACCCTTTTCAGGGCAAACTGAGGCTCTCTGCTACTGGTGAGCCCATAAATACTGGCACCCTCAACATTATTTTTATATATTTGGCCCTTCTCTCATTCAGTGAGGGTAGGGTTCCCCAGCTTCCCTCGCTTTCTCTCCGCGCCCTGTTGGAGGAGCACAGAGTGCCTTGGCGGCTCTGACTGGGCCAGCTGACTGCCTTCCCCTGCAGGCTTGCACCCAAGTGGGGACCATGACCTCCCAGGCACCGATGAAGCTCTTTAAGCTATAGCAGAAAACACAGAGATCAACCACGTTGCTAAATAGCAGAAATCAGCCCCGCCCTGAGGCAAATGCTTTAAACCCTCCCATGAAGTCCACACCCAGGCCCCCTCACTGCCGACATACCTAGGCAGGACGTCGCTCCCTGCTTTTCCTTGTGAGGACCAAGTGCCGCCCCCTCTGTGTGTCGTTCCCTAATGCTTTGCACTGATGACCCTGCATTTCATGCTTCTTGCTTTGGAAGGCCAGCTGACCTCATTTTGGGGTGGCTCGGGATGGCCCGCCACCACTCTTGGGGCGACTCCACCTGCAATTCTGGGTGAACAGAAGAACCAGCATTTTTCTTTTGTTCAGCCAGAATTCTTGGTGTTCTTATCTACTCCCAGGCCTTATATATTGCTTATATACTGCTGATTCACAAATCTGTATCTAGATTTCTCTCCTGGGATCTAAACAAGGACATTCAATCACCCACTGGATATCTCTACCTGTATGTCACCCATTCAACAACAACAAAAAAAAACCCAGGTTCTCGTGAGCCTGTGTTTTCCCTGAATTTCTGTCTCAGTGAATGGTATCATTCTCTACCTAGTCATCCAAGGAATTGAATCTAGAATAATTTTTTAAATTACTTTGACCAAACTATATTTTTTCTAATATACCAAATCCCTTATTTAGGTATTCATACTTACATATATAGTAGAACATTTGGGTCAAACAGTTTTACCTTGAGACAGACACAGACCACACACACACACACACACCCCCCCTTCAAACTCATGACAAACCAGAGAGGGTTATTTATTATTATTATTTTTCTGAGATGGAGTCTCACTCTGTCACCCAGGCTGGAGCACAGTGGAGCCATCTTGGCTCACTGCAAGCTTCTCCTCTTGGGCTGAAGCGATTCTCCTGCCTCAGCCTCCCGAGTAGCTGGGATTACAGGCACCCGACACCACACCAGACTAATTTTTGTACTTTTGGTACAGACGAGGTTTTGCCCTGTTGGCCAGGCTGGTCTGGAATTCCTGATCTCAAGTGATCCACTTGCCTCGGCCTCCTAAAGTGCTGGGATGACAGGCATGACAACCGTGCCTGGCCAGAAAGGGTTATTTTATTTATGATAGCTAGAGTTTGAGTTTCAACAGATGAATTTATACACATGATAATATATGTTTGTGAATCTCCTTAAATACATGTATACATTTTAAAAAGTGTGTGTGTATATATACATATGTATATATGCAGTGTATGCATACATCTGTTTGTGTATAAGTGTGTGTGTGTGTGTGTGTGTGTGTATCTATTTGAGGCTGTGCTCAAATAAAAGGCTACGATGGAACTTATAGAAATAAAACAGAGAAAAGCAGAACTACTCTGGTTGAAGAGGCAGGAGCCGTGAGGGGGTGGGCATCCTTGTCCTCTGCCTGCTCCCCAACCCACCCTGGCAACTCTCAAGCACCAGGAACTATAAGGGCACCCATTTAACACTCGGAAACCACACAGATGCAGACAGTATATGGAATGACTGACACTGCAACTCCAGCTAAAAGTGTTAATTGTGAAATTCATATAAATTATACTTTCCTGAAAATTTCACATAATAGAGCTCCAAAGCACAGCACAGTGTCCTATACCACGTGCTATAGCAAGGATGCAGGAACACAGTCATTAGATTTGCGAAATTGTTGTTACACAGTTTTAAAATGGTTTACTTTCTAGTTATCGTCTGACTTACTGAGGTCAAGCTGAAGTCTTCATGGATACTTCCAAACAAGTCAGGGGAAGAAACATCAACAGAGAGACTGAACATAGAAGCAAGTAGGAACAGTTACAAATAAAGCACTCAAATTCAAAAATGCAATGAACTATACGCAAATTTAAACGTGCAATGAATTATATGGAAAACATTTGGTGAAAGTCACATAACTTTTTTTTTTTTGAGATGAAGTCTTGCTCTTGTCCCCCAGGCTGGAGTGCAAATGGTGCGTTCTTGGCTCACTGCAACCTCCTCCTCCTGGGTTCAACCCATTCTTCTGCCTCAGCCTCCTGAGTAGCTGGGATTACAGGCGCCCGCCACCATGCCTGGCTAATTTTTATATTTTTAGTAGAGACAGGGTTTCACCATGTTGGCCAGGCTGGTCTCAAACTCCTGACCTCGTGATCCGCCTGCCTCGGCCTCCCAAAGTGCTGGAATTACAGGCATGAACCACCATGTCCGGCCAGAAACTTTTAATAAGTGTTTTAGACTTAACAGTTAACAGCTCGAAGAAGGTACTATGGATAATCTGTTAACATGGGCAACATGACATTTAATCCATAATATGAGGGATCTGACTAACAACCAATTCCTGGTGAAATAATGAGCTAAAAATATGAAATCAAATCAAAGAAAACCTAGGAGAATTAAAAACTTATTGGGTCTCTAGGGAGGTGATAGTTTTATATACTGAAAAGCAAAAGCCAAAACCAGTAAATAGACAAACATGGATAAATTCCCAAGTTGTCAACTGAAGATATAAGAGGCATTTATTTCAGTATTATCTGTGTCAGAGCATAAAGTACACAGAAGTTACACATGCCAAGTATAATTCAGAAAGAACGGATTTCTTAAAAAAAAAACCAGCACTTTACAATGCTGTCCTATACAACAGCATTATAAAAGAATTACCATATGGATTTGTAAACATCAAGAGCTAACATGTGTCCACTGGAGCTCCAATAACTAAGCTTGACATAATTCTACCAACATGCTTAGTCTCTAGCAAGAGCAATGGTGCCTCCCCCTAACACCAGAATTGTAAAAATCATCAACTAGGAGTTACATATTTACATTTAACACTTTATTATTTATAAAACCTGTTCTTTGGATAATTAATAAGCTAATCATGTCTTCAATTTGCTTGATTTGTCTCTAATAAGGCAAAGATGAGTTGAAAAGATAAACTATGGAAAGAATATAGGTCGAATATAAAAAAAAACTATTACTTCGATATGAACAATCTTTCTTTCTTACTAGAAGTCTTAGGATATAAGACCAAGCATAAAACTTGAGCCTGTATTTTTAATTCTCTTAAATGCATTAATGAGATTAATTTAATTTTTACTTACTGTGTAGTATCTATATCTGCATCAGGCTTGGTGCTCAACTGTTCCAGACAGTATATAAAAACCTAAGTGAAAACATAAGTTTCAGAACTCTCAGAGGAATGAACTCCTAGACATTAATCTATTTGGACACTAAAGATAACTTTACATAAAGTAGAATTATATATCTCATTAGTGGTGTGGTGTTGTGTGCATGTATGAATATGTGTATATACTGTATATGCCCCATTAATGACAGAAATATATATCCCAGCCATATCTATCACATAAGTAATAGACAATTAGAAGTGCCTATGTTTTGATCAATTATTAAGTTTGTAAAGATATATTCCGGAAAAAGACTTTCTCTTATTCATTCACCCACATTCTCAACTTTATGTGCCTGCAAAGCACTGGTCCCAATAACAATACTTTATACCCTAGATATAATGTGAACAACTAAATATCATTTAATTTACGTTGTGCTCGAACAGAATACATAGAAAGTACCAAGAGAACACAAAAAAGGGGAGCATAACATAAATGAAACATTTGGGTATTGCTAAAACAAGTTGGAATTAATCTTACATTAAACTTTGTTACCCACTTACCTTAAACTATTATGTACACAGACAAGATGAAAAAAGAATACCTATTTGGTGAACGTCATCTGCAGATTATAAATAGGAGAGGGGTTGACTGACACTTAGTATTATTTGAGGCTTTCAGCATTACTGCTTTCTATTATTACCTGCATTATATTGATGCTTAGCTGGCAAACCTCCTCCTGTGTTTTAGGTTGTTGGAAGACCTGTAAGGAAGAATTTTGATGAAAATTTTTGGACTTTGCTAAGAAAAGGTTTTTGTATATGAAGTTAGATATGAACAGTTAAAACGTGGAACGCTGCTGCAGGAGTGGTGCCCTTCCTATAAAAGGAGGCGTGCGAAGAGTGGGCCTACTGGGAGGTGTTCCTTACTGTAGTGACTTGGGCTGGAGAAGACAACGCAGTCCTGGGCTGATGGTCAAGAGCCAGGCCCATCAATAGCTGTCCACAAAGTGCTATCACTGTAACCACTCCACCTACAACACCTGCACTCACACTTTAACTTGCATCGGCCTGGCTTGGAATCGGAAATCAGCACATCTACGCAGTTAAACTAAATGGAACAAGCAGGCGAAGAGGGAGAAAAGATCTTGCAGTACGATGAGTCAAAAATTTACAACTATGATTCCCAAGGCTCCCTGGGAAACTGGAGTCCAAGCGGAGCTGGAATACTTACACTGGCCTCTCCCGGCTTGCACTCCAGAACCCCCTTCAGTGACTGCAGAGAACACACGATGCACTGTTCAAACTGACATGGCTGAAGGGAAAACAGCATATTGTAAAACTCAAAAATGAGCACTGGCTGTGAAGACATGTTTAACACAAGCGAATATGGCCCCAAGCCCCACATTTTCCAGATTAATGGAATGGAACAGACACACGATCTGAAAAGTCATCTCCTAGTCATTGAGTTTCAGAGGTTTGGCATATGTTTTGTACTTCGTATTTTAGAATGAATCAATCTTGAGACTCCAAAGTATATCTAATTCAACTACAATAAAACTCAGATATGACTAAAAATTTTCTTCAAAATTCTACTCTTCTAAGAGGCCAATATACAACGAGGAGCAGATATAATGAGTTTATATTTTGAATGCTAATTCTGAAGGATATTCTGGGATGAGCTGAGTCTCCTAGATCTTCCACATCTCTGGAACTGTTAAACAAAATTTAATGATAATAATAATGACCTAGAGGATGTACAGGATCTTTATATCAGATAGATTGTAAACAGTCATTTTCTATCTACATTAAGTCAGAAAATGAAACCTGAAAATATGCCCAACCAATGGCATTTCAAGACAAGCTAGAATGAATCTTAGCTCCTAAGGGTGTTTAAGTTTTCACTTTGTGCCAGGAACTACTCTAGGTTAAGGAAGATACAGGAATAAGTAAGACAGAATTCTCATTATGTGTATATTTCAGGCAGAAGACACGATCATGAAAGTCAAAGTTGACAAAATGGTTTAAAAAAGTATAGAAATAAAATAATTAAAATAGTAAGTGTCATGAATAAAAGAAGTAGAATTTGGCCGGGCGCAGTGGCTCACGCCTGTAATCCCAGCATTTTGGGAGGCTGCGGTGGGCGGATCACGAGGTCAAGAGATTGAGACCGTCCTGGCCAACATGGTGAAAACCCATCTCTACTAAAAATACAAAAATTAGCCAGGCGTGGTGGCACGCGCCTGTAGTCCCAGCTACTCGGGAGGCTGAGACAGGAGAATCGCTTGAACCTAGGAGGCGGAGGTTGCAGTGAGCCAAGATTGCGCCACTGCACTCCAGCCTGGGTGACAGAGAGAGACTTCATCTCAAAAAAAAAAAAAAAAAAGAAAAGAAGAAGAACTGAGAGAACAATCATGATGGGGGATCGGCTGTAAATAGGATGGTCATAGAAGGCCCCCAAGACTGTGAGAACATTGATGCTGAGACGGGAAGGGGAAGAGGGACCAGCCCTTTGAAGGAACAGGGAAGGAGAGGAGCAAGTTCTCAGAGGACGACAGTGTACCCACCCCGCAGAGTGGGCAAGAAACCACTGGGAAAGCAGGAGCACAGGAAGAGCAGCGTGTCACAACCAACAAACATGAGCACAAGTCTTGAGAGATGGGGTAGGAGGCCAGGCTTCATCCGGAGCAGCGAGACAAGAGCAGCGTGTCAGAACCACCAAACATGAGCACAGGTCTTGAGAGATGGGGTAGGCGGCCGGGCTTCATCCGGAGCAGCGAGACATGGAAGGCTCAAGGCTCAACCAAGCAGTTGTGTGCAAAACACTGGGACTGAGAACCTCTCTTCAACACATGCATTAATTTTTAAAAGAGTTTGGGAAAAAAACTGAAGAGAAGAAAGGAAGTGACATCTATATACATCTTTTAAAAAGACAAGTTTATTTTCTTATGGAAAGGAACCCAGACTTAATGAAAGCTAAAACAGTGCCTCAGCTTTAATGTCATGTTATTTCTGCACTTTGAAACCACCAGAGGGCATTATAAAGAATACTTAAAAGTGAAAGTACAAAAACAGTAATAAAATAAGAAATAGAGGATGAAATACCAACTGCACAGAAAGCATTTAAAGAGGCAAAATGTTTGTTAGGTTACTGACCTTACTCATCTAACCTACCCACCTCAGAAGGTATGAAAATTTAAGATGTTACAATGATAATTATTACTATAATATTGACAATCGAATCTGAAATTCAACCGTGGGCCATTAAATGTTGATGTTTGGCCAGGTGCGATGGCTCACGCTCGTAATCCCGGCACTTTGGGAGGCTGAGGCGGGTGGATTGCTTGAGGTCAGAAGTTCGAGACCAGCCTGGCCAACATGATGAAACCCCATCTCTACTAAAAATACAAAAAATTAGCTGGGTGTGGTGGTGCGTGCCTGTAGTCCTAGGTACTCAGGAGGCTGAGGCAGGAGAATCACTTGAACCAGGGAGGCAGATGTTGCAGTAAGCCGAGATCATGCCACTGCACTCCAGCCTGGGTGACAGGCGAGACTCCGGCTCAAAAAAATTAAAAATTAAAAAAAAAATAAGTAAATGTTGATGTTCATGTGTGGTTGTTTAGATTTCTTCTATTAAAATTTGGACTCAACTTTCTTATTAATTTTATTTTTATACCCACACTAATATAATAAGTAGAAACAGAATACTAGAAAGTTCAATGAGTGCTTTCAGTTGAACCGGGAGTAGGTGATAGTCTACACATTCACTATTTCTTTTTTCTCAAAAGAAATAGTTCTGTCTCTGTGTATTGTCAGTGAGTCATCCAATTTAGATGACTGTCAAAAGTTATCACAAATCATTCCAGTTCTTCTGAAAGAAGAAAATTCTCAGAATCTCAGAATTATCCAAATTGAAAAGAGGCAGAAACCATTTTCAGCATGAGAAGAAAACAGGATGCTTTCGAGTGAGCTGTTTCTGAGCTCTGAAGCAAAGCTCTAATCAGAGAGAATGCCTCAGCCGAGGGACAGTCATAGTGAGGCAGTGCTTGACCTTGATGTCCTCAATGGGATAAGCAATGGGATTATCCCATTAAGGGATATCTAATGTTTAGAAAAATGGGATTTTCTAAACATTGATTCACGTTTTCTCTTAAGAGGTCCACGCGGAATAGCTAAAAAACTGACTCAGTGTTATCAGGTCTATCGTGGTAGGACACTTCTTCAAGGACCTCTGGCTAGACAATGTCTTGGCTGACTCCAGACGTGCTATTTCCTAGGGCTCATTCATTCGCAAGGTGCACTGGGGGTCAGTTCTTTCGTCCCTGCAGATAGTTATGTGGCTTGTGTGAGAGATCAAACATGAAATCAGTTATTTTATGGTTGCAGTTGCACTACTTAAAGTTTAAAAATAAACTACAAAGAAGCTTCTGAAGTAACTATTTCAGAGCATTTTCACAGAGGCTGATATACTACAATCAGGCAAACGAGGTCTGGAGGCTTCCAGGGAAGCACACACTGGCTGACCACGTGTACCCGAGGCACTGACCTGAAGAAGGACCTGAAGCCAATCCCTGTTTTATGGCTCAGAGTTACTGAATTGATGGCAGATTTTAAGAATGAGGAATAGGACCCTGACAGCAGACTCTGCCTTCTCAAACTGAACATATAATTTTTTTCCATTTGCACATAACTGACTTGAGGCAGGTATGTCTAACCTGCCTGCACCTGCTTCATCTCGGGCAAGTGATTCAGTGGATGGTGGCCCAATGATCCCTTCTGGCCTGTCTTCAGGCTTGCTGTGATCATTAGGATAGGTCTATAGAAAAGAGCTCTGAACACAGTAAACTTCATGTATTATTATCATAGTAGCCCAGTGATCACAAGTATTAATTTAACAAATAAAAATCCTTTATGTTTGTCCAGAGCTTTGCAGTTTACCAGGTGCTTCGGTCCACAGTATCTCATTGTATCCTAACCCACATCACTGTGAAGATGTGTTCTGCTCCCTGTTTACAGACTAAGACTCTAGGGTCAGACAGACTACATGGCTTCTTTAGGACCACATGGAAGATTGAAGTAGGTTCTGATTCCAAATCAAGTGCAATAAGTTTTCCCTTCACACCAGTGCTGTCCGATAGGTGTATAATGTTAGCCACAAACAGAAGCCATGTAAGAAATCTTAGATTTACCGGTAATCACATTTTAAAAAGCTTTTAAAAAATAAACCCATAAAGTCAATTTTCATATAATCTATTTAATGCAGTCTATCCAAATATTATTATTTCCCAGGTAGTGCATGTAAAACGTGGAGATGGTTCACATTCTGCCTTTTGTGCAGGTGGTGCAGGTCCATACCTTTCTCTAAAGATTTAGTGTGAGGGAGAATTAGCTATAGACTAGTCACTATTTAAATACAAATAATTGTGACGAATAGAAACCCAATCGATTAAAATTTTCTTTCTTTTTTTTTTTTTGAGATGAGAGTTTTGCTCTTGTTGCCCAGGCTGGAGTGCAATGGCGCGGTCTCGGCTCACTGCAACCTCTGCCTCCCGGGTTCAAGTGATTCCCCTGTCTCAGCCTCCCAGGTAGCTGGGATTACAGGCATGTACCACCGTGCCTGGCTAATTTTTGTATTTTTAGTAGAGACAGGGTTTCACCATGTTGGTCAGGCTGGTCTCGAACTCCTGACCTCAGGTGATCCGCCCGCCTGAGCCTCTCAAAGTGCTGGGATTACAGGCATGAGCCACAGCACCCGGCCCAATTAAAATATTTTTATTAAAAATAAAGCATTTAAAATAGAATCTTAATTGACTTATTAAAAATAATAAACTTCCCTAACTCATTTCAAGCATGATTTAATTTGCAAAAAAGCATTGCTTTTCTAAATCACCTTGTTATATATAAAGTAAGGTACAATGATATATTAACTTAAGATAGGACCTTGAACTTTGGAGGAATAGAATGAGTCAAAAATTCCCCAGCCCCCAGAAGACAGTCCATGAGAAGTACAGTCTGCCCTTCATGCCCCAGGTTCTGCCTCTGTGAATTCCACCAATGGTGGAACTGGCTGGATAGAGAGTCCAAGGATATAGAAAGCCAACTTTTAGGGGCTTGAGAGTCCTCAGATCTTGGTATATGAAGGGATCTGGAACCAGCCTTCGCTGAGGATACCAAGGCACGACTATATAGAAATTCAAGGGAATTTAAAAATACTGTGCAGGATCATTGTTTCCTGATAGCCTGACTCATCACTGGTTTGTAAATCTGGGCAAGTCAAGACCATTTCATTCTAGTTTCCTTATCTGAGGCAGAAACTGCTAGTTGCCTCCTAGGATTGCTATCTTTTTTTCTTTTTTTGACAGAGTCTCGCTCTGTCACCAGGCTGGAGTACAGTGGCGCGATCTCGGCTCACTGCAATCTCTGCCTCCTGGGTTCAAGTGATTCTCCTGCCTCAGCCTCCTGAGTAGCTAGGATTACAGGCGCCCACCACCATGCCCAGCAAAATTTTGTATTTTTAGTAGAGACGGGGTTTCAGCATGTTGGCCAGGATGGTCTCGCTCTTGACCTCATGATCCGCCCACCTCGGCCTCCAAAAGTGCTGGGATTATAGGCGTGAGCCACCGCACCCAGCCTATCCTTTTTTCTTAATAAGGTAAGACAGAAAACAGGAGCAGCCACGTGCTCTCCCGACCTCTGTTGCCAACAGGGACAGGCATGGAATGTGTTCTGACCAATTAGATGGAGGAGAGTTGCAAGTTATGGCTCCTGGGAGGGGACTGGACTTTCTTCCTGACAGCAGCCAGGCCACGAGTGACCCCGAGGCCAGCCTGAGTAGAAGGCAGTGTGAAGGGTCACAGGGAAGAAGGATGGAGGCAGCCCTGGGCACTGACTGTGTGACCACGCTGCCAGGCTGCTGTGAGAGACAGAAGTCCCCCCCTGGTGAAAGCCACTGGGATGTGTCGGCCGCTGCCTGGCCATCGTCACTGGCACAGCCACCCACAGGACCGCGAGGGGCACCCGTGAGACAAGTGTGAAAACCCGTGAAATCATGAAGATGATTTTTAAACCTAAAAGTCCCAGCTGAAAAGATGAAGATTCTAGAAACAGGTCACAGTTGGCTGCCTGGCCTGAGAATGTATCTGCAGTGGTCTGTGGTGGTTGTTTTTGTTTGTTTGGTTTGTTTTGGCTTTGGAGCCAGCAACGTCATCTCTTCTATCCTGCTTTCCGGAAAAGCTCAAGTTGCTGAGTAATTTAGAATTGAGCATACTCTGTTTTTAAAAAACTAATTCAAACAAAAATCGTAAGTTATACAGGATGAAAAAGGTCAAGTCTAAAAGAAACGCATTGTTCTCATTAATTTTTCAATATTTATGGTTCGTGTTAAGCAAAAATGTCTCTGAGAAGAAAACCTTTAAGAAGCTTCTATTTCTATTTAGAGCTGCAACACATGGAGCACATGCTCCCTATTAATATGATAAACTATTTATTTTAAATACACACTAATGACTAATAATTGAAAAGAACTTAAACTTACTAGAGAAGTCAGTCCTTCATTGTCAACAATCCAGTCTTCTTTTTCAGCTAATCTCTTTATTTCTATATGAGAAGAAGCACACAAATACTTTATTATAATTATCTCACTAAATTTTATACAGATTAAAAATGTATACAGGTTATGGTTTTTCATTGTTTTATATAGGTTTGTAAAAACTCGATGAAAGTAGGCAAAGAATATAATTTTGGTAGACTTGATGATTTAAGTACATATTGTTCACTGGATGATTCTACTAAGATATTAATGTGAATAAAAGTTTTTACTGTATAGCCCAATTTGGGGAATTCTACGTTGGATTTAATGACAACTTGAGACAATCATTTATTACTTATTCAGGATTCTTCACAACACTAGGCATGTACAAAATAAGTCATACAGTATTTTTTTTCCTAAAATTTCTGATGAGTAATTTGGCTGTTTTTTGAATCCTACAGATTCCTGACAAGGGCAATATGATTCTCAGTTGGCTAAGGGAATGCCACCTGCTCAAACCTTCGGCCTTGGGGCAGGCTCAGGTTCCTAGGTGAGGAGGAGGTAATCAACTAAGAGGGGAATATCCAACTTCTCACCTGGGTTCCATTCCCTTCCCATTTACACAGTATCGCCCACCAATTTTGCAGAGATGTAAGCTTCCTACCTAAAAAGCCAAGCCTGGTAGTAGATAGTAAAGGCCTGTGCCATTTTAGCAATGTTCTTATTTTTGAAAATATTTAATAACTAAAAGGCTGCTTTGTAAAGAAAACCTTTATGGTTTTTTTATGATTTTATGTAGAAAAGCCTGAAAAATTTAAAAAGTATAAAGAAAACAAGAATCATCTATAATTTCTGGAATCCAGAGAACCAACACTAACAGAGTTTCCTTTGATTGGACATTGATTTCTGTAAATTAAAATTTAAAAATATACATCCATATATTTTCAAAAGTGAGATCAGACTTTATGTACATTTTATACCCTATGTTTTCTACTTAACATTTATCATAACAATATTCTTATATCTTTAAACATTTTCAAGTGTATCCATCTTAGTTTCTGCATGGTCTTAATTCTCAACAATACATCACAAAAAGAAAAAACACTTATTGAGCAGCTAGAAATAAGATGAACTAATATATTCCAATTTCCAGAAGAGTAATTTTCCCTTGTTTTCAAGGATTTGGACACTGAAAGGAGGTGGCACATTCAGATAATCATTGCACAGTGAACGTCACCGATTTATCAAAACACACCTTCCGCCGTGTGCTGCAACGTGGCCATTACGCAACGTACTCGGAGATCCAAGATGAGATCCTGGATAGTCTGTAACAGGTCATTAGGAATTTCAAGGGCAGTCAACGATTCATGAGTAAGTCTGCGAACAAACACATCCAAACAGAAGTGAGCAGAGTGGGATCGCAAAGCAATCCCTAGCATCTCTTTCACTGTATAATCATTCCTCACGGAGCTTACGAGCTACAGCATTAGGCTGAAAACAGAAACAGACCACAACTGGGACTGTACTGTCAGAGTAATACTGAGTGAAACAACGGAGAAGATGCGTAAACTCAAGAACATTCTAGTCCAACACAAAAACCAGGAACAGTGAGGAGCTTAGCTGTCAGATGATGAACAGGAAACAGTGGAGGCAAAAGGACAAAAAGAAGAAAAAGAAGAATTTCTTCTTCACTGAATGTATTAATTCTTTCCAAAAAGTTAAAAAAAACAGAAGTACGCCTTTCTCTGAGAATGTGTCCATACTCACCTTACAGTCTGGATGGCGTGAGCGAGCCACTGTCCGGAGAGCTCGCACTTCACCTCCCAGCCTCCGTACTGCTTGGCTTCCCCATCCCGGATGCTGAGGGGAAGCAGGGCTCCGCGGGTAAGCTTCACCAGGGAGTGCATTACTTCCTGAATCATTTTCTAGAAAACCAGGAACAAGCATAACCGTGTTCAAATGTGATTAATCGGGTTACATTAACTAAAAGATGCTGCCTGGGCAGTAATGGATGTCTTGAATACAAAGTGAGAAAGGAAAAACCCTACCCTGTGAAAAGGTCTACATACTTATCACCCTTACTCACCTTAAAATCATTTTGTCTTTGCCTTACATTCTTTGATCTTTCAATCTGGCCTGACTTCTCAGCAGTCTTAAAAATTAAAAAAACAAAATAAAACATATTAGAAATAATTTAAAAATAAGAAATGCTTTAGCACTTGTACATCAAGAGAACATTAAATATGGTTATAACTTGATTAAAAGAAATGCTTAAGACATAATCTATGTTTCTGATTAAAGAATGATTCATTAGAAAACCTTTCTTATCCCAATGAGAAGTTATTTATCTTTCTAAAACCTTTACGTACAATTCCCATGAATGAATCCAAGAATTAAGTTGAAACTACCGATTTTACAGGTGAATTTCATCTACCATTTTCACCAACGATGTCGTATGGTTAAACCATCAGGTATCATACCCACGACAACACTGTCAACATCATTTCTCATTAGCTAGTAAAGAAACCAAAGGAAGCCTAAACTCTGAAATCTGTCATTTTAGTTTTAAATACTATAAACTATGGCTCTTCCTTCAGAGATTTCAGTGTAATTTAGGATAAAATACATTCTATCATTCTAGAATTAATTTTTGTTTGTTTACTGATATAACTCATGTTTTTTTCCATTGTCTCTTTCCCCTTAATGTATGGAAAACTACTTTATATTGACTAAAAGAGAAGCCTGTTCAGTTGGATTTCAGAGAACTGTTTATTAACAAATTTTCTAACTAAATATTTTTATATAAAATAACCTAGAAGGACAAGCCCAGGAAGCTTTCTAAATAAAGAAGCATTAACAAAATTATACAATGTAAAATAAAATTCTGACACTTCATTGACATAATGCAAAAGTTAACCTTTAAGGTGAAAATGCTCATGCCTTATCGGTTAACGCATGACAAGTCAAGAGACCTTTCAAGTTAAGAACAGTTGCATTATAAATTATCATGATATTGACTTTAAGTCAGTTTTAAAATACAAGCAATGTTATGCACGTTGTATATATATTTATTTCTGTATAAGCTATAAAAACTGCGTGTAGGGTTAGTTTATATAATGAACATATCAATGTAAGTAAAATATGGGTTAGGATTGTTGGGTGTTTTCAACAGAACTATCAGACAAACCTGACAAAAAAACGGGCAGCACATACACAGACCAACATCCTTCAAACTGTAGTTTCCATTCATTTTTAAATTTTATATTAAACTACGCAGCTTTTATCATTTTTTTCTTTGTAGAAATATGTTTTTGTCTTGAAAGAATTAAAGGTATGTATAAAAACTAAACCTGCAATCCATCTCAATAATCATTCAAAAAGCTAGCTCCTGAGTTCACTGGTCAATGACACTTAAAATTCTTTGTACCCCAGGGTTTAACTCATAGGTTGATTTTTCCTTTATTTTTAAGACAAATGAGAAGGAACTGAAGTGTTTTAAGCAGGTGAGTGCTGTGAGGCCTACATTAAGAAGAAGGAATGAGGGGCCAGTGTGCGAGTATGACCAGCCAGCAGGATGTTGCAGTGGCCCAGGTGAACACAGCCACACTGAGACAGCAGCAGGTGAGCCCAGGTGGCTGAGACAGGCCGCCTGAAGGAGAACCTACTGCCCTGGTGCTGCAGTGAGGAAGGAGGCATGCGCAGAGGGACCCCCACCTAACGCACGCCCGCTCGGCTAACACCAGCGGCTCTGAGTGTCTGTTCAGCTGCTTTCTGTCTGCCCAGTGTGAAGACCAGAATCAGAACGTGGTTGGTGGTATGGGGTATGGGCATCGAGCAAATGAATGCCCTGCTCACTGAGGTGACAAATAGCTCTTTTCTACATGTTGCAGTTTGTTAGGTCTTAGGCTTGGGTACTTTTTTTCTTTGCTGTCTATACCGTCTAGTTTGTTCCCGTGGCTTCAAATATCATTTCTATCTAATGCCTTCCAAAGTCTATCTCCAGCCCAAATATCTCCTCTGTGACCCATATGTGAATATTGAATAACTCCCAGGAATCTCAATCTACCACATTATCAATGGAAATCTGAAGCTTCCTCCAAGCATGCTCTTTCTTAGGTCTTTCTGGCTTGGCATACGGCACTCCTGCTCAGGAGCCCACTGCGAGCAACGTCAGAATTCTTGCTTTCCTCTCCCTCACCTGAACACCACGTCCAAAATACAACCAAACCTACCAACTGCTCTCCAACTCCACTGACGAAACCTTATCCAAACCACCACTGTTTCCTGCCTGGAGGACCTCCATGGTTTCCCCCACATTTGTCCCCACCAATTGATTCTGAACACACCACCAAGGTGGGTTTTTTAAAACTGGAAAGCTGGTCTGTTCCCCGCCCCATGGCCTGGGATGAAGCCACTGCCAGCTGGGCCTGTCCCTCCCAGCCCTCCCACTGCTCAGGACGCTTCTTCCTTTTCTGATAAGCTGAGCTGCCCTCCTGGTGCTGCAGGCGTCCTTCTCGCTGCCTGGGGCCTGCTTCCCCCCATCCTCTGTGTGGTTGTGTCCTTCTCTTGTGCCATGTGTCAGTTTCAATATCACCTCCAGAGAGCGGCCTTCCCTGACCTCCAACCCATTGCTGATATTCTGTCTTACAACCCTATTTGTTTCTTTTATAGCTGTTACCAGAATTTTTAAAATAATAATTTAAAAAAATTATTTGAGTTCTGTCTCTAGAAGAGGAAAGGTCATGCTTACTTTGGTGACTTTTATTTATATTGTAGATATGTATATGTGTAAATTTATGTGTATGTCTACATACTGAGTACATGCATGCATTTATATGCATGTGTTATACATTAATGTTTCATACATGTCTACATACGTGTACATGATGTGTTGTGTGTCTGTTGTGTGTGTGCATGCATACATGTGCATGTGTATATTACGTGTGCATGCATGCATGTGTGTCTCAGTACCTGGGCCCTGGTGAATAAATGATCACCTAGGGTTAGGGTTCTCCAAGATCTTCTTGAATATACTTAAGAAAGTGTAACTGCCCCAAACGCTCTGGGTCCCGACATGAGAGTGGCCCCGGGAGGCAGATCTGCCAGGCGTAACCCTATGATTTACTCCTGAAAAACCTAACATGCCCAATTCTTCTCCCGGAGATGTCAGATGTCAGCAAATGGGATGAGCAGAGGTTGGAGAGCTTTGTGTGACGGTTGGGGGTTAGGAGGACTGCTTTGCTTGTTGAATTCAGACACTGCTGCGGAGCCCAGCACCTACTGGAATGTCAGGAGCTAAATCTTTGTTAAGGACCTTGTGATGGTTAATTTGGTGTCATCTTGGCTGGGCCACAGGGTGCTAGACATTTGGTGAAACATTACTCTAGGTGTGTCTGTGAGGTGTTTCTGGATAGATTAACATGCGCATCAATGCACTGTGCACGGCAGAACCTCTCCGGGATGTGGATGGGCCTCGCTCAATCAGTTGAAGGCCTGAACAGCACAAAAGAGCTGATCCTCCCATGAGTTAGAGGCACTCCTCCTGTCTGACTGCCTTCAAGCTGGGACACTGTGGGCTTTATGTGCCTTCATAGTTGAACCGAAACATGTGCTCTCCTTAGGTCTCGAGCCGGCTGGCATTCAAACTGGAGCTTACAGCATCGGCCATCCAGCTGGGCAATGCATCCTGCAGACCCTTGCGGCTTGTCAGTCTCCATAATGACATGTGCCAACCCCTTAGCATAGATCTCTTCGTGTATGTGTGTGTGTGAGTGCAGGGATAGGCATACACATCCTATTGGTTCTATTGCCCTGGAGCACCCTGATTCGTGGACGCTTGCTTCACCTGCTATGGAGGGAGGCACATGCCAGTATAAAACTGCAAGAGTCTTGACTGTCAAAGGGCATATCCTCTGCTTGTATCCTCCACAGTACCTGATACCAAACTTTGTACATAGTAAGACTGTGCAATGCGAAGATTATTTCATAGTCATTTGTTCTATTACATATTTTTAAATCAAAGAAAAGCGTGAAAATCTGTTGTTAAAAAACATATAAAAATTAAGGCTAAATTTTGCCACAACAATTTTGCCCAACAAATAGGTGTTCATGAGTGCATGAGGAAATGTACTGGACAGTAATTTTGTAAAATTCAAGGATTTGTCTCCAAACACATGAAAAGTAGACGGGGAAGGGAACTAGTTGTGGGGCAGACCGCTTTCAGTTGTTACTTACTGTTTTAATTTAATAGAGCTGAATATCTCCAACACAATGGATTATGTAAAGTTTGCCCTATTTTTAAAAGAAAATCTAATTTTGGAATATGTAAGGCATTTTAATTTATATATTATTGAGTTATGTAACTTTTTAAAATGCTGACTCTTAATATTCATCAATTATTTGGCTGTTTTAAAGATTTTTATCTAAAAATACACTATATTTAAGATATATCTAAAGGTGAGATCTTAACCTACTATTAACCATTTCGTTAACTAGAAACCTTAACTCTTTCCTGCACACGCAGACCAAAACTGCTTTGTGGTGAGAGCAACGGCTGATTTCACTGTTTTGATTCACATTTGTTATTTCACATGGCCTTCACTGGCTTGAAGAACTGACTATTTTTTAAACTGTTGGAAACTTCATCTAAATTTTTAACGGATGGGCTCTTAATACAACAAGATAGTTTTATAACAAGAAAAATAAGAAAATTCAAATAAATTGTGTTTAAAAACTATCATGCTTTCTTGTGTGAGATTAAATAGCTATCAAAAGCCCCAGAACTCTTCCCAGAATTCAATCCAGCTTCTGGGTTTCACTTGCAGACCGGCAAGGGAAGCAAGTGTCCCCAGCTCCTCTGCTCCTTCCTACAGCCCTGCGCTTTCCTCTAGCTCTTCAGAAGAGGGCACACAGTTTCAAAGCATGCCCAAATCTGCAGAGCAAATTACACGTAATTAGTAATTATTGCTATAAGCTTTTAAGTTTATAAACATAGACAGGTAGACACGTCATAGGCATATCCAATTCAGCACAACCAATTAAGAGTCATTTTTTCATTTCACCATTAATGTTGTGCATGAGTTCTGAAGTAGATGATTTATTTTTCATCTACGACCAAATATTTCATTTATATGTTTGGTATGTAATCTGTAAGAAAGCAAAACATACTCCCTTTTCACTAAAATATCCTAGATCAAAAATTCTTAGGAATCTTATGACTCAAAAAGACTCCAGGGAAGGCAACTACTGTCCATGTGTGGTGGGCCACTTGTAGGAACTGATGCAAATGAGGGAAAAACACTTGGCTGGAAACAAACACTACGGCTTAAAATCCATGTCCTAAAAGACTAATTCTTTCTCTTTTTTTTTTTTTTTGAGACGGAGTCTCGCGCTGTCGCCCAGGCTGGAGTGTGGTGGCGCGATCTCGGCTCACTGCAGGCTCCGCCTCCCGGGTTCACGCCATTCTCCTGCCTCAGCCTCCCGAGTAGCTGCAACTACAGGCGCCCGCCACCACGCCTGGCTAATTTTTTGTATTTTTAGTAGAGATGGGGTTTCACCGTGTCAGCCAGGATGATTTCAATCTCCTGACCTCGTGATCCACCCGCCTCGGCCTCCCAAAGTGCTGGGATTATAGGCATGAGCCACCGCGCCTGGCCCTAAAAGAGTAATTCTAATTCTTTAGATGAGTTGATTCAGCTTGACATTATTCAATTCTACTCCAGCAGTTCATCAGTCTACTATTTTCTAATGTTACAAAATTTTGTTCACTGAACACCTACCATGTGCCAGGCCGATGAGATTTCAAACAGTGGAAATACTGGAATAAATTTTACTCCAAATAATAACAGCAAACTCTTACTTATCTGTCAGACATTATTATCAGCACTTCACTCATGCTAACTCATTGAATTCTCAAACCAGTCCTATGGAAGCAGGTGCAGAGAAGTAATTTGCCTAAGGTCACGGCTAGGAAGTGATAGACACTGGATGTTTCTATTATGCTCCTAGTGTTCTGCGTGAAAACCTATGAATGCCATCTGTCCAAAGGCATGACAGGGGAGCATCTAATCTTTCCTGCCCACACGAACAATTTGGTTTAGGGACAGAGCAGACACAGAGAGGAAGCTGGTGCCTGCGGTGCCACTACTGTCACTGTGCAGAGGGCAAGGGGGACCCAAGGCTTGACCTCAGCATGGTGAGCCCCACAGCTCACCCAGCTGAGATCACAGAGACACAAACTGATGGTGACACACAGAAGCAGAGTACTGGAAAGACTTATCAGGACAAAACTGAAATTATTCACTTCCTAAGCCAGCAATAAGCAACTCTCATTATGTAGACCTGCGAAACCTGACGTTCGTTTCATGGAAGAACTTCCTCTGTATAGTCAACTTTTCAATAGAGTTCATACATAACTAACAAAGAAAAGAAAGTTGTGTATTGCTTTAATATTTGAATGTTCACTTATAAAGTAACTGATAACTGAAACTAAAGAAAAAATGCATTGATAAGTTGTGCTTACACGATTGGTTTTTCTGCACTAAGGAGTTTGTGTTCATGCATTACACATTTCTGTTTTTATGCACATAGTAAATTTTATAGGTTAGAAAACCAACCATTCACATAAACAAGGCTGCAGGAATCCAGCGGGTTTACAACGGAGATACTAGGCACTTGGAGTTCAAATATACAAAGAAAAAAGTTCCAGAGCACATCTCTATTTCCTTAATATCAGCATGAATTTATGGTCATGGCCAAATGAGACTCCAAAGACACCTGAGGTACTCTGACACTTAGCCACTTTCCGCCAAGGAGGAGAGGTTTAAACCACAAAGGCTGTGCCTTTGTGCAAAAAACCAAAAATGGTTTTAGCCTTTGCCCATGTCCATTTTGTGTGTTGCCAAGTCAAAAAGAAGCAGAAAGTAGCCTTTACTCTCAGAAGACCCCTATCTCCCCCAGAGCTCTTGGTGTAGAGTCGGTCTCCTGCAGAGACACGAAACACCTGTCTTCTCAGTCTCCCACGGGGGTGCCCTTGGCAGCCTAGGACAAAGGGCGTTAGAATCTATGTCCAGGAGCCGGAGGCCTTTCATGGCGCACTTGAGGTGAGGTTAGAAAGTGACTGACTTCCATGTGCCACACATAACAGAGTCATTCCTTTATGTTCATGCCTTCTATGCTATCAGTCATATGATGATGAAGATACTAAAGCATTAATAAATGTGTGACTGCAGAAGGTGGACGGGCTCATAAAAACTTCTGTAAGCTGATAACAATGGGGCTAGACTGCAGAATGTTTACATCCTTTCCAAGGGAAATTGCATACTCTATGGATGACTTTGTTCCGGGTGCCGGCTGCCAAGGTGCTATCCTTGTTTCCTCATTTGTTCACAGTCTACCGCACATCACCCAGAATTTGGCCTGACTGGCAATATCTCAATTCGGAGTCCCTGAAAAGAGTTCGAGCTTTCTTTTTTCTTTAATTGCCTATCTCATTTAATCCCTACAACCACCTTTTGAGACAGGTGCCCAGACTATTCTTTTTGTACATGAGGAAAAGTGACTTGTTCGAGGTCACACAGCTACTAAGTGAGAGGGCTTTATAATGCTTTAACTGATTTTAAACTATGACGATGGCTAGAGATGTTGGGCCTCTACATTTTAAAAAATCACTTAAATCTAACATTTTAAAGACCAGAAATGCACGGTGACTCAGCTCCACCTCTAGCCGAGTCCGTATACACACCTCACTGAAGAGGCTTCCATTAACGTAGGAGATCCAGAGTTTCCAGAAGTTAGGCAGCTGGCTCAAGACGAGTTTTGTCAATTTTTCAACAAAGGCCACCCTGTGGGGAGTTTTGTATCTCCACGCTAAGGGGGAAAAGAATAAAATACTATGATTGTACTTCTGAATCAAGAAAACACCTTTGAGCATATTGGCGCACCCCCCTCCACTCCCGCAAAACTCCAACATGCACTAGGAATAGCCTGAGTCTGCGTGGACGCTCGCGGCCCACCTGGCTGACACCGGCAGCGGTACGCTCGTCACCAGACACCCCCGCATTTCTCCTTGCCCTCTGGCAAGGAAGAGCCCCTCTCCCTCATGGCTGACCAGCAAGCCAGGGCAAGGGACCAGGTGGCCACAGCCTCAGTACTGGGAGGGCTACCGAGAGGAGGTGGCTTTGACTTATCAGCCTTGTCCTCTGGATAGTAAACGTCTCTTCAAAAAGTCCCGCCTTCTAACAGCAAAGGCAGGGGCTGCTGTGCAGCCAGTTGTGAAATTGCAGCTGATCAGCCTGTGAGAAATGCCATCATACACCCTGGGAAGTGAGAATGCAGGAAGGAATCCAGTTATCACAAGGAAACATTCTAGTGCAATCACATACTAAATAACCCCACCTAAAATAAAGAAATTTAAGAAAAACTAGAAACGTTGAAACCTCTTTGGCTATACATCATTTAACATAGCTATTGCTGTAACTGGGAAATAAGGGCTTAGACTTCTTGTGGGAAGAACAGGTTCATGGGAATAAAGCAAGTGTAGAAATTCAGGACCCACTCACCATGTCCTCTGTCTCCCTTCTTTCTTTTCACTCCCAGGGCCATGCCTTCGCCCTGCTGCCTCCCACCTGCCTCCCGCCCCGCACTCCACTCGGTGGCCATGGCAGGGGCACTGCAGAGTCCACCCCGTCCAGTCCTCAGCACAATGACGCCGCGGATCAGGCTCTAACTCCTACTCAGCAACTTCAGGGGCAGGTGGACTCCCATGAGAACGTTTATTCCCTGGGCCAGGCTAATTGCTAGCTTCCTTTCCAAATACCCCCAAGCAAAAGGATTTGCTGTTGTTAGTCCAGTGAAGGAAGGGCAAATTTTATAAACTGTATTAATAAAATTTCTTAATTTTATTAAGAAATTTTATTAATAAAATTGTATTAATAATTTATTAATGATTTAATAATTTAAATAGTTATTTGATCAGGTAATACATGGTTAGAAAATGACACCTGAAAGGTACACAGTGAAAAGTCTACCTCCTGCCCCTCCACTCCCAAGTGCCTAGTTCCCAGCCGGAAGAAACCACTGTCACTAGTTATTGTGACTCTTTCTGAAATATTTTTTATATACACAAGCAAGTATAAATGTGTTTTTCTCCCTCCCAACTGTTCTTTACACGTTTTTGGTTTTTACACAAACGAAAGGCCAAACACACTCTTTTGAAGCTTGGCTTCTTCCATTTAGCGATGGATCCTGGAGTTCTTCTGTATTCAAACGTAAGGCAAAGGCTTCCTCTTTTTCTCCCCACAGTTATACTGCCTTTCACATTTTTGACGTATCGTAATTTAACAAGTTCCCTTCCAATGGACAAGACTGTCTTCGGTCTTTTGCAATTAAAATGAATGTTTCAGCCAGTAACTGTATACCTATATCATTTAGCACATGCTCAAGTGAAAGCATAGAAAACGTCCAGAACAAGAATTGCTGGGACAAAGAGCACCTGTGGTTGTAATTTTGATAGATATTATTGAACTGCCCTCTAAAGGAAGTATGCCCTCATACTTCCACCGGTGACACGTGCAAGTAGTGGCCTCATCAATGAACAAACAAACATAGAAAACCCAAAACAAAACGATAAACACTCAGAGTTTTTGCCAACCTCGTATCTCATTGTAGTGTTATGCGACCTTTCTTCTTACTATTGTGGGGTTGAGTGTCTACTCACACGTGTAAGAACCACTGACACGTCCTCTGTGTAGGCTATAGAGCCTCTTTATTTATTAGGTATATTAGCCCTTTGTCTATGCTAGGAGTTGCAGGAAAAAGTTTTAAACTCATTTTCACAGGTGTGAAAGGAACGGTTCTTTACTTAAGGGCACACTGTAAACTTTTATTTTTCATTCAGCTAATATTTATTGAGGATTAACCGTGTGCTTATCATGTGGCTCCACCCAAGATCAAAACTCACTCTGAATGCTGAACAAGGCAGGCTCTGCCTTCACAGCTTAGAATCTAACAGAACAGTCAATTAACCAATTGAATACACCATGATGGTAATCTGAGGTGAGTGGGTTTCATCTGGAGACAGCAGTTACAGACTCCTCTCCCCAACAGTAGTTGGTAATGCCTGTTTTCCAGATGGCAGGTGGCGTGCCACAGGGCGAGGCCATGGCCAGCTGCGTCAAGGGTCCAATGACAAGGTGAAAAACAGGACAAGAAAATCTAAAAATGGAAGCACTGAAAGATTTGCCTTTGATCGATTTGGATGTTTTGTCCCCACCAAATCTCATGTTGAAATGTGATCCCCAATGTTGCAGGAGGGCCATGGGGGCGGGCCCCTCGTGAATGGCTTGGTGTCCTTGCAATAATGAGTGAGTTCTTGCTCTATGAGTTCACACAAGATCTAGTTGTTTCACCCATTGCCCGTGTGCCCCGAGAACACTCTTGTCTCTAATCCTAATGGAACACCATTTACATTTCTATTACATTAGGATTAGAGACGAGTTGTTTAGAAATAATTCCAAGAACAGTTCTTATATTTTGTTTTCACACTGAAAATCAGTGATATTTGCTTCAGCCTCAAAGAACATGTTTATGTAAATTAAGTGAGCACCAGCAGTGAGCTGCACCTTTTTTCCCTAAATGGGAAATGGGTTAAAAGAGCCTGGCATCTCCATCCTCTCCCTCACTCCCTCTCCATCCTCTCCCTCGCTCCCTCTCCATCCTCTCCCTCGCTCCCTCTCCATCCTCTCCCTCGCTCCATCTCCTGCCATGCGACATGCTGGCTCCCCTTTTGCCTTCTGCCATGACTGGAAGCTTCCTGAGGCCTCCCAGTAGCAGATGCCGGCGCAATGCTTCCTGTACAGCCTGCAGAACTGTGAGCCAATAAACCTCTTTTCTTTATAAACTACCCAGCCTCAGTGTTCCTTTATAGCAACACAAACAGACTAACACAGCTTAATATGGCAGCAAATGGATTCTTACATGGTATCTTTCCCAAGAATAATGTTTCAAAAGATCTCAGCTCCTCTGTGCAATTACATTGAACATTATATAATGTTAGCTGCTGTCCCACAGAATGTAGGAGCAAACGGTTCTGATCTAACATTGTTTGTTCTAATGTTTGGTGAGCTGGGAGAGGAATGAGAATCGGACAAGAAGAAGGAATACCAACAGTTATGGAAGCCTTTCATTTAGTACAAATGAATCATCTAATTTTAAGGTGCTCTTATGATGAACATTCATTTATATTAATAAAACCTTCGAAAAATTCCCTACTGCAATGCTTGTTAAGAATAATATAAGACATTTTAAAACAACTGTACAGGTATCTGAATTTAATACAATGTAAGGTATTTCTATTAGTCTATTTGGGTTTCTTATATCTGTTATTGAGATCACAAATGGCTCCTGACTAGTGGCATCTAATTTGGTGCAAGAATGCCTGATAGTCGATCATGTTGTATCTCAAATAGGAAAATGGTAAATATCCACTCCAGAAAGTTCAGAAATGCAACATACTTAAAATTTTAGATGCTTCATCTTAGGAAAAATTATTAGCAAGTATTTTATGGTTAATTAACAGCCAATCCCTCTTTCCAGACCAAAGTTTAAATTTCATCAAAAAAGGTATACTGATACTACTTTTATCGCAAATTCCATCTTAATGAAGTTCTCACAGAATTTTTTTCTGTGGCACTTTAAAAAAATTCAACCACAGAAAAAGTAAAACTAGACTTGAACTAAATATGTTTAATAAGCACTGACCTGCACCCAATGACTTAAAAATCAAATAGCATTCCTTTAAATGTAATATATATTTTAATTATTAAATTACTGGTAGTTACTGTAACAAGCAAAAGCGATGATGGCTGATAATACTTAGCACCAGTATCAACACAAATTGGGGAATTTTCCAAGAGAAGAATGTTTGAAATTACACGAGTACAAATTTAAAAGACCCAGTGGCAGTGGAGGGAGATACTTACTGTCGTCTCGACCAGACTGAAAGCTGCTGCCCCTCTTCAGGGACGCTGTCTGACTGAGATGGCCCAACACTGAGGGACGTGTATCATTATCAAGATCCAACATGGGACTGTGCAGGCCTGGGTTACCTGGGGAAGAAAGGAGAGATATACAGAGTATATAGCATGCTCTATATACTCTTGCTTAGTTGATTTAATGGTCTGCTTCTCTGAGGCTATTTCTTGCTCAATTGCTCCACTCTTAAATAAGGCATTTATTAAATAAAATAAAAAGTATTTTCTCTAAACAGATTTTAAAAGTCATTCTCAGTTCAGCAAAATTGGGTGGTGGTGGGAGGATAATGCTATAAACACAAAAAGTAGCAGGAAAAATCACATTTTGCAAAACAACTTTTGGCACTAGGAAAGATAATGGAGTTCAGAATCTTCTGTTTCTTTAAATGTAGCTGACTTACACATTTTTGTAGCATAAATCTCCTCTGACTTCTCCCTTAATGCCACACTTTACACTTAAATCCCCAAATCCCACCATTTGTTTCTTGGACACATGGGATTTCACTCCCTATGGCGTTTCTTGATGCCAGTCATCTAGTGTGGATCCTTTTCACCTCACACTTCATATGCCAGAAGCCAGAACATTCTACTACCATCAAGAAATTGTCTTTATTGTCTCACACTCAAATACTGCTTTTTTGATTCTCATCTGAGAAGTCTTCCAGAAAACCGGCAGGATAAAGTCTACCCCGATGTTTTCCAATCCAAATTATGCTGAGAATTAGGAAACAATTTTTCTAAAATGGATCACAAAAGCCTTTAGGAATAGAATTCCATGTTGCCAAGCATGTTAGTAAGGACATTGGCTTGAAGAGGTAAAATTTACCTTGTTAGTCTAAAACACCACTCTTTAGCTGAGTATTCAAAGAGCTTCAAAATAAACTGAATTCAAAGTGCATTTACAGAGTATTTACAGTACTGTGCATAGGACACTTGAATATTCTCCCTACAAAAATACACCTTACATTTTGCTGCCTTATTTGCTATCCTCTCTACTGGAAAGGCCTCACTCAGTTTTTCTTCTTCATCCATTTAAACCCACATCCTGAAAGATGCCACTTGAAATACAGCTATTACACAAGGTCACCTCTTCCTCTTATCTACCTAAAGTGCTACCTATCTTTTCTGCCCTCTGACAGCAGTGAGAATGTATATAATTTATGTATATAATTTAATCGACTTCACATTCTAGAGTCTGTAGTTCATTAACAGCTAGGTATTGCCTATCTCCACCAAAGACTGCTGTTTTCTCAGGGATAAGAAGTAAATATATCTCCATGTTCCCCACAGTCATTGGACCTTCCACAAATAACTCCCACCACATGTAGTAAGTGACTGACACTAAAAAATATATTTTTTACTTTATAACTTAATAGAATATTAAAAGCCTATGGAGTTGTTTTCAGGTGCTAATATAAAACATATTTCCAAATTAAAGTAACATTTTGGTGTCTCTGATAATGCAAACTATTCAATAACATTTAACAGGTATTTATTGAGCTCCCTCCCGCATGTGAGGAATTGCAGGCCCGGGGGATAAAGTGATGAATAATATCTAAGGCCCTGCTCTCAAGATGTTTACATTCTGGTGGTGGAGGCAGAAAATAAACCAATAGATAAATAAACAACAAAACTATAGCAAAAAAACGCTAAGCAGAGGAGGTAAATAGTGATTGTGTGGTAAGAAAAGGCTTGATCTGACTGAGGCCCTCCTACCGTGTGCCCCTGGACGTGACACACTATCATCTCTCTCTCCAGATCCCCACAAATTCTAGCTGGTAGGTCTTAGATAAATAGAAAATAAATCATTTGAACAGATTTTTTAGTGCAACAGAAGTTTTTTTGAAGACTTACTATGTTTTGGCCACTGTGCTAAATAAATGCTGTGCATACATTTGTATTTTTGAAAATATTAAAGCTAAGATAAGAAGACTTATAAAATCCACTGTGTTACCAAAAAAATGTGACAGAGAAAAAAAATACAGTGAAGAAAGTATTTTTTTCTAATTGACTTTTTTTCATATAAAAATGTTTGTGTGGATGTTCTAGTGATTTATGACATTTTCCTTTGAAGTTTATACAGTTGTCACTTCTATCAATTGTGGAATTCAGGAAATGAATATCAAAATATGAATTTTCTAACATACTTTAAAGAGAAAAATAAAGGGGCCCAAACTTAGCGTCACATTAAAAATACATATAAAAACTTCTAATTTATATTAAAATGTACATTTTTAAAGTATAAAAAAGAATGCTTTAAACTGTTACATTTCACTTACTCTTGAAGGTTTTTAGGACTATGAATTTATGATTAAGAAGGAAAACACTTCCTAGTTTCCTGAAAATACGCATATACCATTCCTGCAAAAATACAATTATTTCAGAAAAAGTTTTCTCCTTATAACTGGTATTTTTATAACTTTAAATTGTTTAATATTAAACCATTTGTATAGTTTAAGTACATCCTGAGTTTTGTAATGGTTAAAAGATTGATTTTTTTTCCTTTAATAACAGAAACTGTATTACTATGCTTTTGTTCTATTAGAAACCACATCATCAGTTTTCTATATCAGGAAAACAAAGGTAACCGTGAACAAATTTTCCAATTGGTACCCTGGCATTACCAGAAGTATAACACAGCAGCAGGGAGCTAGAAGAGCACATGCCCCTCCGGACTATCAGCATCTGGAATACATTCGGAAGATGTATTTTTGCTGAGTGTCCAGAAGGTAGCGCTTCACAGCTGCACACAAATGCATAATGTGCCCTGTCAACTAAACAGTGGGTACTAGCTTAGAAATGTATTTCTCTCCCTAACACTCGTACTTTTCTTACTGTCAAAAAATAATCTCAGAATGAGTTATTTTATAGAGAATTAGAAAGCTTATGTTTTGAAGAGAAAAGCAACACAAACTTTTTAAATACCAGTTGTCACAAATTATGTATGACCAAGTGTCAAAAAAAAAACAAACAACTTGATAATTCTGACACTCCTTTTAAATTACATAACTTACTATTTCTGACTCACAAAATTATTACAAATATGAACTGGTTTCATGAGTAAGCATTTCTATAAAAAAAAGAAAAAAACAGTTTCCATAAAATATAAAATCAGCAAAAGTCTTTAAATATTTCACATATCAGTCTATTTTGTTTCATCTTACAATATGACAGCAATATCTCATTTAAAAAACTATACACATTACATAAAGCATATGGTGGCCGGGTGCAGTTTTTTTTGTTTTTTTTTTTGAGATGAAGTGTCACTCTGTTGCCCAAGCTGGAGCCCAGTGGCACAATCTTGGCTCACTGCAACCTCCAACTCCTGGGTTCAAGCGATTCTCTTGCCTCAGCCTCTCAAGTAGCTGAGACTACAGGCATGCACCACCATGCCCAGCTAATTTTTGTATTTTTAGTAGAGACAGGGTTTCACTATGTTGGCCAGGCTGGTCTTGAACTCCTGACCTTGTGATCTGCCTGCGTCAGCCTCCCCAGGTGCTGGGATTACAGGAGTGAGCCACCGTGTCCAGCCCTGGGTGCAGTTTTTAACATCCCGTAACAACATAAAATTGTGTTTGACTCTGCCCTTTTCAAACTAATGCTGCATTGATAGGAGTTTTCAGAGGTTACTTGTTCTCTTGGCAGTAAATTTTCTATAGAAATTAACTGTTCCTAGAATTTGTTTTCTGGATGAAAATTTTTAAAAAGCCTTTTTTTTAAAGCAGGAAATGATTACCTTGGGCCCTGATGAAAAGGTTATAACTATGTTTTCATTTGGGCCAATACTACCAAATTGTTCCCTAAGTTTGAAATTGAGGCAGGGACTAATTTTATGAAGAATTTCCATGGCCATGCAGTTGGTATCAGGTTCTGTGGCAGCTCACCGAGGCACTAACCTATCCTGTAAAATATACCTGTAAAGATTAGGGCTTTATACTATGCAATTCTAAAAGTCTTTTTAGCTATAAAATTCTGACTCTATGATTCAAAGTTTAAATCAGAAACCTTAAATCACCACTGAGAACAACACAGAAAAGACATTTATTCCGATCACTGTTCGTACAGTTTTGGACACTGATCAGTGGTGGTGTCGTTTTAAATGTATAAAAAGTTTGCCTCTACACATGGAGCAAATGTGAAAATTATGTCTTAAAATGGAAATTACATCACAAAAATACTAAAAGCAATAAAAAAGTAACAGTGTGGCCGGGCGCGGTGGCTCATGCCTGTAATCCCAGCACTTTGGGAGGCCGAGGTGGGTGGATCATTTGAGGTCAGGAGTTCGAGACCGGCCTGACCAACATGGTGAAACCCCCATCTCCACTAAAAATACAAAAAAATTAGCCAGCGCGGTGGCACATGCCTGTAGTCCCAGCTACTCGAGAGGCTGAGGCAGGAGAACTGCTTGTACCTGGGAGACAGAGATTGCAGAATGCCAAGATCACATCACCGCACTCCAGTCTGGGAGACAGAGCGAGACTCTGTCTCAAAAAAAAAAAAAAAAAGTAACAGTGAAAACTGTATCAGAATTTTATAATATTTGTTATGGACTTCAGCCTGGCTATCTTAAAGATAGTAAGCACAGTAATAAACATACTCAAATGAGTGAGTGCTTGTAAGATCAAAAACATTTGGTTGTAATCTCTCAACATTACCTGAGGAATAACTACAGATTACTCTGAATACAAAATTGCGAACAGGCACATCACCCTATAGTGTGGGAAATCATCACCGTAGTATTTCTAATTGCAAAATTCTATGTGATATTTGCAGGAAAAATGATACAAAACAAAATTCTGGAAATAAATATTCTTAGGATCTAGCTATATCTTTTAACTTCCCCACATTAGTATTTGAGTTATTATTTTGTCAATATGTCAAAGAAAACATACATATGTTATCACAAATGCCTGGAATTAGTATCTTGGAAGGAAAAAAAAATCCTTTAACCACTTAACATTAAAAAAAAGACACAACTGTTTTTAACTACTGGAAGTCAAAAGTTAGTATTTTATTTTTCCAGTTAAATACTGCTTCTATAACATATGCTTGCAATATCCTCAAAATTCCTTTTCTAATTTTAAGTATGCAGATACATTTAACAAATTATAAACAAACATAAAATTAGAAAAAAATACCTCTAGACATTTTAACAAGAGAAAAACAGTTGGAAAATTTGTTTTCAGGAGTTGCAGAAATAATTTTCTTCAGAAAACTAATGAAACAATCCTAGTCACTTCACTAGAAGTGTAGAAATAATCAAAAATTTAAAATTTATCATTTTTCTAAAAGAAAGTAAACAATCTTTGACAATCGAGACTCTATAGAAAATGCTTATTATACCTAGAATTCTGTAGGACTTCCAGGAAACCATATCAGTCAAATCCTTTCCACTCAAAGCTGTGCAAGTCTTTCTGATTTTCAATAGTCGGTATTTTTTTTTTTAACAGACTCTATACCACAAAAAGGGCAGAAGAGACCCTTCTTAAGGGAAGCCTGCAGACACGGAGCCAGGTGAGTAAGGTTACTGTATTTTCTCATCCTTCATGCCTACTACAGCAAGTTTTCTCACAGTCTACAATAGTGTAGGGAACACTGATCTGCAGCCTCAGACTCTCAGAAGGGTGGCCGACTTCCTCATGGCCCTTAAACACCTTTGAACACATTTTCCTGCGCACAGCGGGCCGTTGTCCTGCACAGCAGCCCGACCACCCACTGTTGCTTGCTGACCAAACACGGGCCGGGAGCCTCCGCAGACGCAGGCAGGATGGGATTCCTTTCAAGCGCACCACACACAAGAATTTCAATGCCAAAGCTGGGGGTGGGGGTGGGGGTGCGGTGGGCGTATCAAGGCAGAGTTACAAATTCCTCAGGAATTAGACCTGTGTCAACAGATAAAAATGCTTTTTGATCTTCTGATTATACATGTATACATATACATATATATGTATATATATATAACATTTTTAAAGTCCTGACAGGGGCATTTCCTTAATTTAAAGAGAATCACTTAATCCAAATTAAACAAAGGGAGGCACAGTTAAGAAGCCCCTGTTAACTCACTCACTCAGGACTGTCCTTCACAAGCTCCAGGCAGCATTTCGGACGTGCATTTCAGTATCATTCAAAGCAAGAGTTCACCAAAGGAAATGTAAATTAAAAGCAAAACTACAGGTATAAACTTTGAAGAAGCATTTATTAGCTACCATTGGCCAGTTATGTGAGAATCATATATTTGTAATAAGTAAGCTGGAGAAGTGAATGACCAAAATGAAATGTATGTTTTTGTCAAAGTCCTATGTCTTTTAGCAGTTTCATATAGATTTACATGCAGAAAAATGCTTAGAACATATAAAGGAATTACAAAAATAACAGAATACAGAACAAAAGTACTTACAATTATCAGTATTTTTAATTACCAAGTAAAGTTAGCATTCAATGTGTGTTTGACATTCATCATCAAAATTTTTTTTCTATGAAGGATGGGGACAAGTTTAGACATGAAATGACTTCCGGCTGCCAGAAGTCTTCTTCCAGATGCACAGTAAGCCAGGGCAGTGGAAAAGAACCAGCTGCTACAATCACAAATTGACAAGGTCCTTTTCACATAGCCTTTTTGGCCTGTGTGATCTAAAAAAGATTATTCATTGTAAGGTGAATAGAATCTATTACAAAACAGGAGACACAAAAAAAAGAGACCTTAATCCAACTTTTTCTTGTGATATTCAACAGCTGTTACTTTACTACATGGGGATCTACAAATGAGTGCTATGCTATTCCAAAAGAAATCAAATTCTCAAGTCCCAGGTTACTGACTTCTTCCACTTCCCTCTCCTGAATCTACTTTCTCACTGTGTGCACATACGCTGCATACATAGCGCAGCTTATACATCTTAAAGCAGGTAAATAAAACCCCACTAAGCATTTCATCTTCCAAAGACAATTTTGAAAAACTCTGTCATCACAGCATGCAAACGAACAAGTGCACAGCAGAAGCCTTCCCTGGAGGTCCGCCCACTGGCAGCCGTACACAGGTCACAAAGGCACCACCCCAGTGCTGAGCTGCAGGGAGGGCAAGATGGAAAGAAACTAGCATCTCATATCTGTGCTCGCTGCAGTTGTGCCTTTCCTTTTTTTAAACCAACCTCTCTCAACCTGGGTTCAGGCTGTGATCAATATTCAGGAGAGAAACAATTTTTTAAATCTCTAGAAAATTAACTCCATAAAAAAAGAAGCTTCCTAATGTGCAACCTTATTATGATAACTTTAAAATTAAAATGATAATTTTATTAAAAGATTTAGCACATATACAACAATACACTTACACTGACTTTTTAACTATGAAATTATTTGCGTGGTTCCACAGAAAATTCAATGAATCTGCTAATGGTTTCCTAATGGGGGCTGTAATTTAATCTCGCATACAGGAAGTCTACCTGACCCTGCATTATGGTAATACCAGAATTATATGTAATATTAACCCCAATAATATTTGTAAAAATGATATAAAATATGTACGTAAAGGTCCTAGCTGTATTTTTTAAAATAGCAAGATATAACAGTTTATACTATGTAAATTCAAAATCATAAATTGTAATACTATGATTTATGCATGTATGTTATGAGCTTGTACTGAAAATATGGACTTTGTGTATCTTAAGGTTCTTGGAGTAACATAAATGTTTTTATTTCTTTCAGCAAGTAATTAATACTCTAGTGAGTGTCAGAAATTATTAAAAGGGTAGATGTTTAGCACAGCCTGTTATTCAGTTTTCTTTCTATAATAGCTCCACCACTGTGAAGACTCGAAATAAACCACTCAGATGGAACATACCATCTCTAAGTTTTCAAAGAGAACCTGAGCCAGGTATAAATGTCTTTTCTTCTGCTCTGCGGCTATTCTCGAGAACTTACTGCTTACTTAACAGTGTGGCCATGTTCTAAATGTTGCCTACTGAACCCTAATTCTAATGATGTCCTTTTAGAAGTTCTAATTAAGTGCATCTCTGAAAGAAGGTAACACTTTCTCTATGAGTAGCCTGATGCCTTCTCCCTTAAGTTATCAGACATAGCCAGCATATATTTTAACTCACATTCAGAACAAAGAAAAAAACACCTTTGAAGACCACCTTTAAAAATCCTGTTTGTGAATGTCAGTAGGGGGTTAACCAAAGGCTTTTCCTGGCAGGAAACCTCTGAAGACGCAGTCTAATTTTGGACCTATTTCACAGGAATTTTAAGAGACGGGTGACACTTCTTAATAAGGTAGTAAAAGTTTAACATGTATAACAATTCAGAACACAAGGCTGCTTTGAACATAGGGGAAGAGAAGCAAAATGGTTAACCTGTTCAGGCTGGACAAACACCATAAACTCTTCCATCAGTATTTAGAAGGTTTCAAGATGAGTTTTTAAAATATTAACCTTAGTTTTGCTCTTGTTTTTCCCATCTTTTTCCACCCTTAGAAAAACCTAAATGATCACATTTGGGCTACAGAGTTAGAGGATGCAAGAGGCATGTGGAGCGTTTGGGGGTAAAGGACCAGGTGTGTGAGGTGCAAGGGTGAGCTCCTGTCCTGGCCTCGTGTTATACTCCGAAGGGCACCATCTGCTAGCACCAGTGTATATTATTACTACAAAAACGAGTCCAGACAAGGATCTAATGCAGGACTCATAGAATTATCAACTGTACGGCAAACTCTGCTGCCAAATGCTTCATCTACAAAAGGAGCTTTCTCGGAAAAAGGTAGCTTTGTATGTAGGACTGCTGTCTCTGAAAATCTGTCACCATCTTTGCTCATAACATTTTCTCTGAATACCACAGGGCTACATACAATTAACATTTTTTTCCCAAACCACCAAAGTGAAAAGCAAAAGTCTTTGCTTTAAAAAAGCAGACTTAAAAAAATATTTATATGTTAGATTTCTTAGATTCATGCACAAAGACCACATTTACTTTAAACAGACATCAAGAATTATTTTTCCGTTTGAAATATTTATAGTCTATCCATTTAAAATTGCATTTCATTTCACAAAGCTATTCTTCTTCTTATCCATTGTTCTGCTAGTGGATTTACCTAAACAACTTTACAGTGTTAGTAGTCTAAGTACAGATATTATAATAAAGGAACTACTTAAAACTTGTTTTCTTTATATTGGAATGTAGTAAGCTTTCATTTTAAAAGCAGGCTCCTGAGAAAACCCGCATAAAAACAATGTAGCTTTATAACAAAGTACCAGATAAAATGTAGGCAGTCCTTTTACCGCAGATCATTTGTAAGCAATTTCTTACGGTAGTAATTGTGTTTTCAAATGCTCTAGCCTTCAGTAGACAGCTATAATCAATTCAAGGAAACAGCAGGTGCCAAGCAAACAAGTAAGTACTCTGTCACCGAGCCCCGGGCATCAGAAAATAACCAGACACACTCGAGTCAAGAGAGAGGTGGCATCCGCTGCAGGCTGCCGGCTCTGAAGCTTTACATCCAATGTATGTGCCATGAGTTCCTTTGGCTCTGATGGGGGCACTGCGGGCCTTCCCAGGGACAGCCTTACATTTCCCAGGATCCCTCCTAAGGGACTGGATGCTCTCTCACTCACCTCCATTTTCTTAACTTGCTCATTCTCAGAGCATTTATTTACATTGCACATATAATTTTAGAAGTGAGTGATGAGGTCTGTGTAAAATTTCCTTAATAGAATTCACCTATGTATAGCAAAATAGCATAAAAGTAATAAAGACCAGAAGCACTTCATCGAGCTTGGCTAGTTTCAGGTGCAGCTCTTCATGAATCCCCAAATACCAGCCAGCCTTCCCTTACCAGGGGAACGCTCACCTGCTCTGACATCACATTGAGAAATCCTGTTTGATGCAATATTTGCTCCAACAATGTAACTCAGAGGGAGGTGTTCAGTAACCTATTCCATAACTCACTGGTCTGGAGGGAGTGTGATCAGGTGAGAGGGGGAGTGACCTGGACACCCACTAGTCCCACCCCTGCTCAGGATACGGAGGACGTGTCTGGACACCCACTAGTCCCACCCCTACTCAGGATACGGAGGACGTGGGTCTGTCCTGTGGCTTCTCTGAGACACCTTTGTCACATGCGAAATAGAGCTAAAGGCATCCACAAAACTAGACAGTTTCCCAGATTTCTTCCACATCTAAAATGTCACAATTATGAGAGGATGCTCAAAGGAAATTCCAAACAATATTTAGTAGGCATTCCCCCATATTACCTTACATTTATATTATATATAATTAGGACAATAATAAAACATCCACCAAGGGTCCCTAGTCAACAACAGTTGTAGATCACACAAAAGAAAATTTGTGTGTATTCCCAGCAAACTTATAATTAAGGCAAATATTTTATATAAACACACGCACACATACACAAACATAGATATGACATTACCTGTAGATGTAAATGTAGATATGTGTATTTTTTTTTTTTTTGAGACGGAGTCTTGCTCTGTCGCCCAGGCTGGAGTGCAGTGGCACAATCTGGGCTCAGTGCAAGCTCCGCCTCCCAGGTTCCTGCCATTCTCCTGCCCCAGCCTCCCAAGTAGCTGGGACTACAGGCAAATGCCACCATGTCCGGCTAATTTTTTGTATTTTTAGTAGAGACGGGGTTTCACTGTGTTAGCCAGGATGGTCTCGATCTCCTGACCTCATGGTCCGCCAGCCTCAGCCTCCCAAAGTGCTGGGATTACAGGCGTGAGCCACCGCGCCCGGCCATAGATATGTGTATATTAAAGTTAACATGTGTGCAATGACATACACATATAGAAATGATCACATACAGAAAAACACCGACATGCAAACTGGCCAAAGCACACTCTATTTCACTAATGGCGAATCCTCCTTCCATCCGAGGAAACGTTCTGTCCGCGTCTGTGCCGCATTTCATTTACCATTTGCCTGTGCACTGAGTATCAGCTCAAGGGCAATGCTATCGATGCACTCAGAAAGATACTGAAGAAATTAAACTTTCTGAATTTGAAACTGGAGTATTTCATATTTAAAAAATATTCATATTTTAGGTAATGGTCATGGTATTTTGGCTACAGTTTTTAAAAAGAATCCTTATTTCTAAGAATTACATACTGAATTAATTATGGATAAAATGATGTGATCTGTTTTAGAATAATCCAGGGTGAGGGAGGGGAGAGAAGCAGGTAAGACTGGCTATGAGCTGATAAAATGAGATTGGCTATGAGTTGGTAACTGCTGAAGTCAGCGTGAGTACATGGGGTATTGTTACATTATCCTTTCTGCTTTTAAATATAAGTGGGATTTTCCAAAATTTAATAGTGAAAATCGCTTCTGACCTAAGTTCAAAAAACCACCCCAATTTTCCAGTTAAAAGCCTCTCATGTGCTAGAATTACCTACATTTAGATTAGCAGTGTTTACTGACAATGACAGAGGGAACAGTTAAGCATGTTCTGAATGTCAAAAGAAAAAATAAAATGTGAATTTAAGACATTTATATTGTATTGTCATTAAAACTGTAAAGTTCAAAGAGTTGTAAGGAATTGTTTCCACTTTTTTATTTTTTGAGATGGAGTGAGTCTCACTCTGTTGCCCAGGCTGGAGTGCAGTGGTACGATCTCGGCTTACCATAACCTCTGCCTCCTGGGTTCAAGTGATTCTCCTGCCTCAGCCTCCTGAGTAGCTGGGCCTATACCTGGCTATACCACCATACCTGGCTAATTTTTGTATTTTTAGTAGAGACAGGGTTTCACTATGTTGGCCAGGCTGGTGTTGAACTCCTGACCTTGTGATCCGCCCGCCTCGGCCTCCCAAAGTGTTGGGATTACAGGCGTGGGCCACCGCACCGGCCCTTCACTTTCTAATGAAAAGATGAAGTAATGAAAGTAACCTGAGGCACTGCTCCCATTCCACGCACATTCTTTCGATTATTTCCCAAGTGATGAACAAGGTGCGCAACAAGCTTGCTCAGAGTAAGTGAGTTACAAGAAAGCTTCTGTCACCTTTTTTTTTTCCAAAACACTGATTTTAAGCAATTTAGAATGAATATATATAGCAATAAATTAAGATGTCAGGGAAGGAAAGATGACGGTGTGTTTCCCTCTATCTTTGAGAAAGATTCAGACCTTTGGTGATGGAATACTGGTTATCAGATATTTGAGGTAAAGATATGACGAGATAGATGAAATTTTCTGGAATTTTTCCAGTTTCAAAAAGTCCATATGTTGTCTTCATAAATTACACACATATTCCAGAAATTCAAATATTTTCATACCAAATTAGGTATTCAGTTTGTTTCCTGAAAGTATAAGTAGGAAAATCCTTGGTCAGACCACATATCCTATCTGTATCCAGTGAATATGGTGACTGCATTCATCACCACCTTTGCTGGAGAGCAGTGACATTTGTCGAGCACCCGCACGGTGTCTGGAACGCTTCTCAATGCCGATCTAGAGAACTGACCGTCGAGCACCCGCACGGTGTCTGGAACGCGTCTCAATGCCGATCCAGAGAACTGACTGTCGAGCACCTGCACGGTGTCTGGAACGCTTCTCAATGCTGATCTAGAGAACTGACTGTCCAGCACCCGCACGGTGTCTGGAACGCGTCTCAATGCCGATCCGGAGAACTGACTGTCGTTGTTTAGGTTCAACTGAGATTTCACCTCCTCTAGAAAACTTCCCTGGACTTCCCCTCAACCGGACTGCACCCTTCCTATCATACATTTTCATACAATTTTGTACTCCCCACTACCTCACACTTTTCACTATTCCAACTGAATACATGCCTATGTGATTTTTTAGATGGTGTGTTTCTCCCTAGACCACAAGCTCCAAGAGGCCAGCTCGCACTGCACTTCCGGCTCCTGGCACAGCAGCCAGCACCCTGGTGACCAGCCCTGGCTGCACATGAATCGCCCGGGAGCTTGAAATTGCCTGGACTCCAGCCACAGAGATTAGAATGTGCTTGGCACGGAGGGAAGGGGTAAGGCCAAGAATTGATAACTGGTTGTTAAAAAGCCCCAGTGGACGCGTGGTAGCTCACGCCTGTAATCCCAGCACTTTGGGAGGCCGAGGCGGGTGGATCACGAGGTCAGGAGATCGAGACCATCCTGGCTAACACCGTGATGGGGTGAAACCCCGTCTCTACTAAAAATACAAAAAAATTAGCTAGGCGTGGTAGCGGGCGCCTGTAGTCCCAGCTACTTGGGAGGCTGAGGCAGGAGAATGGTGTGAACCTGGGAGGCGGAGCTTGCAGTGAGCTGAGATCGAGCCACTGCACTCCAGCCTGGGCGACAAAGCGAGACTCTGTCTGGAAAAAAAAAAAAAAAATCCCCAGTGGACTCTGATGGGCCCTTAAGGTTGAGAGCTCTGCCGAACAGAGTAGACTCAAAAATTATTGGTTGAATCAACAGAGAAATAAATATGTAAGGCTTTCTAAATATTCCCAAAGACTGCAGACTGTGTGTAACATTTGCTGTCATTTTCACTTGCTAAAAATATAAAATAATTAATGACATTAATGGGGATGTTGACATGGCTTCAGCAGAGATACCTGGGTTTTCTTAAATACCAAGCATAGAAAAAAATGGCATCAGAGCTGGAAAGTACTCAAATCCAAGCCAACTAATTCATGACAAAACTATGCTAGAAAGAAACAACGGCGACCTCTCCATTGTACTTCCTTCTCTACCAAGACTGCTCTCCTGTTACAGCTCCTGATCCTCCCAGGGACCTGATGAGGGCCATTACTCCTTTTCATGTCATCCAGTTAGGGGCTCAGGTCTCAGGCCCTGCATTTGCCAGAGTCACCACCAACAGCGTAAGAGCAATCCTAAGGACATTTCTCTTTCATCTTCTGCTTCATCTTGGAGATTTTGCTGACCACTCCCTTCTGTTTTCCTCCCGCCATGACCACCCCTTCTTCGTTTCCTTTGAAGGCTTCTCTTCTTCTACCAGCCCCTAAAACATCACTTGTCAGGACTCTTTCCTGAGTTTGCTTCTTTTTTCGTCTTCTTGGGTAAATGCACGAGTTCCAAGGGACCACCTGTATGCCCACCAAGCTCAAATTTCTCAGTCTCTAGATCCAACTACTTCCATCTCTACTTACATGTCAGACAACCCCAAGTCAAGCTGTCCAAACAAAGAGGCGGAATCACTTTTCTCCCCTATGTTCCCTAACTCAGTGGCACCATCACCCTAACTAGCTGCCAGTCAGCCATCTGGAAATCACTGCTCATCCCTTCCTCCTCTTCATTTGTCCATCATCCAGCCCTATCAGTTCTATTCCTGAACGGCCCTGGAGTCCATGCTCTTCTTCACATTCCCACCACCTCCACATCAGGTGGGGTGCCTGTCTCCTCACCAGCTTCACTGCTCTGGGCTTGCTCCCTCTCATCCACCCACTATGGGCGGCCAGAGTCGTCATCTTTTCAAAAGTAAGTCTGAGCTTGTCTTCCCCCAATCCATTGACCCCAGCTTAAAATCCGTCAGCGACTCCCCATCGCACTCTGGGTGAAGTCCAAACCTGTCACAGCAGCCAAGAAAGTTCGTCTCTTCACTCCACCTCCACGATCTAAGCTCCAACCACACAGGATTCAGAGGCCTTCTTGTGCTTGTAACCTGTGCACATTCTCCCTTCCTGGAAGTCTTAAATGCTTTCCTTCTCTATTTCAACTGTCAAGTACAGATACCCTTCTGATCTCAAAAGAGATGTCACTCCCTTCAGCTCTCAGAATGTCACTCCCCTGACCTCAAAACCCTGGATCAGAGGCTACTCCTAAGCACTCCAATGTCACTCAGAACTTCCCCAGTCATATGAAACAGCACACAATATTCTAACAGCTGGCTGGTTATCTGTCTACCCTACTATTTTGTGAGCTTGCATGAGCTAGGCCCTTGTCTGTTGTCCTGACTACTGTGACTTTGGCACCCAACAGTGTCTGCAGCATAGCAGGCATTCAATATACTCAATATTCTCCAAATGATAGTATACAAACAAAAGCCAATACACCTGCACACAAATAGACCTTTGACTTCTCTCCCCCAGCTTCCCTCAGGGCCTCCACACAGGTGGTCCCTTTCTCAAGCTGAGATGGCTAGTAAGCTACCTTTTATCCTTCCAGTTCTAATACGGAGGCTTCTCTGAGACATTCCCACACCAGCCATCTAAAGCATTCTCCTCAGTTACTCCCTTTTGGAACATCTTGATTTTCTTTTTTTCTTTCATCACATGTCCCAGCATTTTATTTGGTTAGTTACATGTTTAGTGGCTTTTCCTTCCTCTAGCGGTAACTCTGGGAGGCAGCAGCTATGTCTTACTAGCGATGGGTGCAGTGCCTGGCACAGAGCAGGACTCAACATACACCTGACGAGACGATGTGCAGACTGATAGTTACCAAAGACCAATGTCACCTCCTCGGCATCACGCTGCCTGCCCCGAAACGTCAACGCTGTCCACCAATCGCAAAAACAGACATGATAAAAGAGTTGTCCCTTTTCATTAGTACAATGCTAACCAGTGGCCAAAAAAACCACAAAACAAGCAAAAGACAATAATAAGAGATACCAAGTAAATTAGGTAGTCAGTGCCTTCATCATTAAACATTCCCAGAATGCATCAAAATGACATGAAGGAATCACACAACACATTGGAAGAGAAATCCTTGCCTTTCAGATCTTTCACGTAGCCCTCTTTGCAACTGTGCATGAGCTGAAGGATCCACTTGTGTTGGGCTCCAATGCATTGCCAAGCAGGGTCACCAGACGCATGAAGGTCAGACAGGTACCTGAAAAAGCAAGTCCAAGGTTGAGGCCAAAGGGAAATGCTGGCATATTTTAAAATCATTACTTTTTAAAGGCTAAAATTTTATCAATTAGTCTTGTGCCCTGTCAAATATTAGTCTTTAATATTTAATTCTCAATGAAATATATTCAAATTTCTTGGCTAGGTGAGATGGCTCCTGCCTGTAATCCCAGCACTTTGGGAGGCTGAGGTGGATGGATCACCTGAGGTCAGCAGTTCAAGACCAGCCTGGCCAACGTGCTGAAACCCCGTCGCTACTAAAAAAAAATACAAAAATTAGCCAAGTGTGTTGGTGCAAGCCTGTAATCTCAGCTACTCGGGCGGCTGAGGCAGGAGAATCGCTTGAACCCGAGAGGCAGAGGTTGCAATGAGCTGAGATCTCACCACTGTACTGCAGCCTGGGCGACAGAGTGAGACGCCATCTCCAAACAAACAAACAAGCAAACAAAAAATAAAAAAATAAACAGCAGAGCTTTAAAATTTTTTCATATAAATGATAAAACTATTAAAAACAGCTCTTTGTAAAAAGATAAGGACAATTTGCAGTGATCCTATCTACCTGATGAGCATTTTTCTTTATATTTATATTTAGTTCACAGGAGTTTTTCTACTTAGTTCAGAGTCATTATATTAGACACAGGTGGGAGCCAGCAGATACTGGGCAAATACTTTTAAAATTTCAGATGTTTTTTAATTCCTTTCTGATATGAAATATGGCCACGAGATGGCAGTATGGCACCGCTTTCTAAAACTAGCTAAATGAGGGCTAACCGAACTGTGAAGAGATTTGGTGACAACACTCACCTCTAAAGTCCACACTCACGACTGAGAAAATATTTCTCTAGGAAATATAGTATAGTTCGGTGTTTTTCTTAGTTTCTAAATATTCTTAAAATATATCAAGTCTTTGTCTATAAAACACCCAAATCCATAGAGACCATTTACTTCCATAGAAAAATTTCTGTCAAATATTATTTAAGATTTGGCCCTCAGCCCTCACAAAATATATAAATATAGCAAGCTAAATCCAATTAAATCAACTCCAAAAGCATGTCCAAATGAATTTATTGTCTTAAAACTGTTGTTAAGCCATATGCCATTCTTTGTCTCTGGGTTAGAGGTTTTTGTTCAGTGGTAAATCATCATCAATGGCTCCAGGCTGACCTTGGGCCAGACCTCAATCCCTCAGGGGTGCACCCATGCTTCCAGCCCATTCTTCCAGTAGTGAGTGTGTGTTACTCAGGTATCTCAATCAGCAGCCAATCAGAGGAGAAACAAATCCACTTTGTAATATGTTAGCAACAAATAAAATGCTGAGAACACTGACATTCCCAGCTGATGGGGAGGGACTGGGTGCTGTGGGGAGCCGGATATCCAGGCATCTGCAGACGGGCCACACTCAGGCTGCCCAGAGGTGGCTGAGAGCTGCCATCTCCTCCCCCTTGTGACCACCTACAGGTTGCAAACAGGATGTGTCTCTGTGCTGAGAAAGTGGCAGGTCAATTAGAAGGAAGAGCTTTACTCAGATTAAGAAGTCACCAGCACTCCTCCTCATAAATGAGAATAGTATCCTGAGAAGAAAACTACAATCTAACAAGTTACATTTAGCTTGGCACAGGGGATTCATTTCAGATTCCAAAATGCAGTCTGATTCTTTCTCTCACACAAGGCTTTCTTCTTTTATTACCTGAACGATAAATATAACAAATAGTACACTGTGTCTTTCTTCCCAAAGAACGTGATTCTATGCTTTCTTGCTGGGGATGATGCATTTCAGCGTTCTCCCTAAATAGGCTTGTTTTGCCTCCCAACACCTCTGCAACGCTTTCTCCTAACACTTTCACTCACGTAGCCCTCAGATTTGGTGTTAGTAGTAAAATAAAGAGATACTCTTTTAGGGACGGTGTTCCTTTTAATGTTTAAATTACTGAATAGGAGTGTAGACAGTTCCGTACAAGGGTTCTTTCTCCAGGAGTACAGCAAGAGGAATCAATAAGCTTTGCTTAGTGGCTTTTTACATTATACGTCTCTTTAAAATGTTGACTGTGTCCTTGCAAAACCTAATAACAAAAGACTTTTTCTATCATCTTATTAACGGGTATTAAAGTAAAGGAGTTTATAAAAGTTTTACAAAGCAAGATAAAGTTGTTCTTTTAGAAATTCTAGACTCAGTTCAAAAGCATGACAACTTGTGCTGGGCTCTTCAAATAAGTTTCTTGTTTCCTTTCAGTATGCAGCTAAAAATAAGTAGTTACATTTCAAAACTCTGTTTAGAATGATACATGTTATCGCCATTTCTTTTAAAACTGCATATTAAGAACACTTTAAAAAGGCTTTTTAGATTCAAAAGCAATGTAAAGAATGTTAATTATGATTAACACAGGCTCAGTATTTTAAAATTTAAGAATAAAGGAAGTTTTTAGTCATATTCTGACATGATCTTCTCACAGCTACCAGGGATAAGATCACACTGCTGTGGAAAGGAATATGCAGAGCTTTGCTTCCTGCCAACATCAAGATAGAAATAAGGAGAGGGAGAAGAATAGGGAAGGTTTAAATTAGATAAAATAGTGAATGATATTAGAAAAAATTGTGAACAGTAAGACAATATAGTGGTAATCTGATTTTCCCCTCTACTATGCATAATCTGGATTATGTAAGAAAACTAATACATTTTTGTTCATGATAAAGCTATCTCTATTCCTACTTGATGCTCATAAATTTCAAAGTCCAACAGGTATTTGACCTGGTTCTGATCTTATTTTTCTATTTCTTAGCGACTAAAAATTTCATTTAAAAAGGTAACAATTGCTCAGTATTTTCTCAAAGCATCGTAAATAAAATAATCATTAACAAATACATAAACTATTGTTGACTTGTTTATATTTTTGCTCTTTTGCCTTTAAGATGACAGGAAAAATCGTAGTTAAAAGGCTCCTTAAAAGAATCTTTTTTGGCACTACCACCTTTTAAACGATATCCAGTAAGTTATATACTCATAAAAACTGCACATGAGTTATCCATATAGATGGTAACCCACAACATAAAGAATTTGTACACTCAACAAGATTTAACACACTACTATAGGCAAGTTTAACATAACAAGTGTAAACAGGCCAGAAATATACAAAGCACACGCAGTGAAGGAGCAGGGCAGGAAACAGCAGCCTCAGGACGTCTGAGGCTACCCAGCTGCGTGTCCTGGACACTACGCTCAACCTCCCTGCAACTCTGTCGCTTTCTAGGTAGAAAATAAAGCAGTTGGATGACAAATGTGTGGTTTATTTCCAGCTTTACATTTCTAGGATTCTACAAACCAGGAAAATCCCCTATATACATTCTTTCTTATGGAGGCAGCTTAGAGAGAAACAAGAGTGGGCTCTGAAGCCAAACAGGCGTCCCGTCCCCCGGGTCACTGTGTGTGCTGGGCAAGCTTCCGTGTTTTCACCTGTACAATGGGCACCGCACAAGCGTCCTTTCATGGTGGTGATCAGGATTAGAGAGGACATGTAGAACACATCCCGCACAGCGCCTGAGCATGCTGCACACGTGCAGGGGTGGCAGCATGCAAACACAGCACCCTCTCTTCATCCCACCGCCACTGCCTCTGCTTGCTTCCTCCTGGGCAATACTAGTGTGCTGCCAATGACGACGGCTCATACTCCCGCCGTACGCCTCATCACTAGGACACAGGTCCAGGTGCGGATCTTTTCCCCCGTTCACACTTGCACACACAGCAGCTTTCAGGCCAGACGCTCTTTTCAAGACAGTCTTTTCTTTTCAGAGACAGGATCTTGCTGTCACCCAGGCTCGAGTGCAGTGGTACGATCACATCTCAGTGCAGTCTCGAACTCCTGGGCTCAAGAGATCCTACTGCCTCAGGCTCCTGAGTGGCTGGGTCTACAGGCATGCATCCCCGCATCTGGCTAATTTTTGATTTTTTGCAGAGACCAGGTTTTGCTATATTGCCCAGGCTAGTCTTGAACTCTTAGACTCAAACAATCCTTCTGCCTTGGCCTCCCAAAGTGCTGGGATCACAGGTCTGGGCCACTGTGTCTGTTCCTGAGACATTATTTTCAAAGGTCACATGGGGACCACAGCTAAATTCATAAATACATAGTCTGTCATTTTACAACCACTGAATAGTCAATAAACTTCACTAATTCAAGTGGAAAAACCATTAAATTTGGAAAATAATTTATTCTGAGAACAAAGGCCATACTCAAAAAATCCTAGCAGAAAATGAAGTTAATATTTTTAATCACAGATATAAAAAACTTAAAATTTATATGCTTTATCTCCAAACCCTGACATAAACTACATGTACATAAAATTTACTGACTACTTTTTATGTGCCGGGTGAGGTATTAAACCCTTAAATGTATTTCTGATTATCTTTGCAACTATCCTGAGATGCAGATTTGATTACCATGTCCATTTCAGATGAAGAAACCGAAAAATAGAACTCAAGTCGGTTGCCCAAAGTTAACAGCTAGTTCCCATTATGTGATACTGTTTCTCTCTAAGGCCTTCTCTTCATATCCTGTGAAATTCACCTCTCTTAATATCACTGCAAATTTTTTTTTTTAAGACAGAGTCTCACTCTGTTGCCCAGGCTGGAGTGCAGTGGTGTGAGATCTCGGTTCACTGCAACCTCTGCCTCCCGGGTTCAAGCGATTCTCCTGCCTCAGCCTCCTGAGTAGCTGGGATTACAGGCGCACATCACCATGCCAGGCTGATTTTTGTATTTTTAGTAGAGATGGGGTTTCACCACATTGGTCAGGCTGGTCTCAAACTCCTGACCTAGTGATCCGCCCGCCTCAGCCTCCCAAAGTGCTGTGCTGGGATTACAGGCATGAGCCACGGTGCCCGGCCCAATATTACTGCAATTTTTTAAAAAGTATGCTCACTTAGTGACTTTATTTCTCTTTCACTGACCACTAAAGGCTTGGAAATCAGAAAGCTATTCAAGGTTAAAACCTTCCAGAACTTACTGTGCTGTTAAGCAGCAGCACATTCTTGTGGCATAATGCATTTCCCACCCAGTGTGTGACAGTATTCTGCTTTAAGCCATGCAGGGAGCCCCTCCTTCACAGATTATGGGTACCCACACCATCCCACTAGGCAAGGTACCCCTTTGCTCAGCAGGAGGAAGAGGTTGAGACTACTTTTCCTTTCCCGAAAATGGCAGAGTTTTCTCAAAAAGTGAGTAACTCCATAACTACTCCCAAATCTATTAGTATTCAAAAGAATTTTGATGTCCTACGCCAGATAACCCTAAATTTCTGCTATTTGTCTTCCCCTTCACCATTTCATCAATCTCCTAAAGTCCCTCAAGTTAGCCTTAAGGGTTACAAGATGCATACAGTACCAAACAGATACATGTGATTCAACAAAATGTTTGCAGAAGATTTACCTTATGTAACGTTTTTGGTCATGTAAAGTTGATGGTGTCTCAAGCAATTTATCCAGAAGTAATTCTCTTAAAGCTTCAATCCTTGTTTCTACTTCAGCATAATCTATTTAAAAAGAAAAGAATACACAAGATTTACAGAATGAAAATTTAATATCAAATTTCAAAAAGCAGAATAGTAGTTGCTTTTGTGGGGTGAGGGCTAAGAGGCACCAGGGCCGTGTCTAGAGTGATCAGAACACTATCTCCGATGTAGGTTACAAGGGTGTACATATTTGTCAAAACTCACTGACCTCTAACATGTGAGGTCTGTACATTTCACTGCATGTATATTTTACCACAATAAAAAAATAAATTTAGTTTTCTGGGTCCTTACAGATTTCATTTTTAAATTTAATAAGGCCCTGTGATATTTCTCCTGGTGGACTGTAACTCTGGCATTAGACATAACTTCAAAAGTTGCTGAGCTTCCTTTAAAGGAGGTTGGAATTCTTCAGTCTATGGGTCTCTCTGAAGACGGGAAGATTAAAATGTAGGTTTCCATCTCTAGAAAATACTTGTCATTGATTCCTTCCAGTAAACTAAGACTTTCTAACAGCGTGATGGTTAACAAACGGCAGAGAACGTCTCAGGCGAACAACCTAGAGTCGTGGTTGCTCATTTTCACTGCGTATCAAATAAGAAAAGTCATACTGTTATTTCTGAAGTAATTGCTTTACATTGTAAAGAGAGCCTCATATAAACAAAAACTAAAAACTCATATAACATTCTTTGCAGAACACATTCCACATTCTTCCTATAAAAGGAAAGGAGAAGATCTAAAAGTAATACATGAATCTTACATTTCTTGAAAACTTGCACCTCCGTTTTCCCAAAAAGTGACTTGGCCTTTTCATAATCATTAATAACCACATCATAATCACCCTTTAAAATAAAGAAACATTTTGAAAACTGTCAGTAATGCAAAATGAAGACATTTGGTTAATATAAAAAACATCTTAAAAAATCTTAAAAATGTATGACATCTACAACCATATGTAAATAAATAAACATGTACTCTACCTTTTGAATATTCCTTTCAATATTTAGAGGAAGGTTGAAAAGAAACTTAAATCGCTGAAGCACATTGAGTGCATTTCTAGTGGAATCTGCCTTGTCTTTCCGACCTAATACTTCTTGAAACAATGTGTCTGCAGTATTACTTGCTCCTGTTTTAAAAAGAGGAAAGGAAACTTAGATGAAAGCTGATTTTAATCAGAAAATGTGTAACTGGGCACTAGAAACAAAATGTTAATACTGCTATTGTAGTTTTACGTTAAAACTCAGACTGTTTTTCAGTTTAGGGGATCTTTTATGGTTTGCTAAAATAAAATTTCCATTTTGCCTAAGTCTTTTCATATGTTAAGAATGGTATCCAATATAAAAAGCACCATATTTACCATGCCCAAATAAATTCTCTAATGTGAACCTACATTTATTTTCATTACACTTCTAAACTGTATAGCAATTATGGGCCCTTAGGTTATTTCAGAACTTCATACAATAGGGTAAAACACACACATACGCATGTATGTGCATACACGTGTACATTAGCTAAATTCTGCGGACTCAATATCTACATATGGGACAATAAACAAAACAAGGAAATCATTTTCAGGAAAGTTGCTCAATAGAAATATTTAAAACAAATTCTATTCCTTGGCAGAATTACCTCTACGTAGCAGGCAAAGAAAATTATATAAGTAATTTACAAATGACAAATGTGAAGGCAGCATCATGAATATTTCTTAAATCAGCTAATCTTATAAAAGTATACATGAGCTGCACATTTCCTAAGTTTTTTTTTTTTTCACCTAAAAGACCCCAAACCATATGAATCACTGTAATGAAAGAGTTGCTTTATTTAAAGCAAAATTTGCTGTGTACAAAAACAGTTTAAATTTTGCAACTTGTGAATTAGTTTTAATTCCACAACGAAAGGAGAGAAAAAAGATAAACTGTTTTTGCCTGTTTGATCGCTGCTTGTAAAAAGTTTCTGCATTATCTGGTCTAGTGACTATACTTTAAGCAAAGATGAAAAAATTGCCTCAGTCTCACTGGGTGGCTCGCATGCAATATTCTCTAGAGCACACTGTGGGTGGCCTGATCCTGTTAAAAGTCATCTTTGTAACATGATTGTTTTATCTAAATAATGTTTAAATTCTGTTGAAATTTTAAAGGCCTCATATAAAAACTTTGTTTTGTCAAGATAACTGTTTTCACCACATGCTATTTAAGTAGAATTCTACATTTCTATTATAAGATGAGAAAAAATATATTTCCTTCTTGCCACCAAACCACACAATGGAGGCTAAATTAGTATTTGAAATCTGATTAGGGTTAAAACTTTTGGTCATCAAAGAAAACTATTTTAAAGTATTTATCACTTAAAAAATATAAATTTCAAGAATTGAGGCTCATAAATGAATAGATATGTAAAGGAGACTAAATCTTTTTAAAAGGTTAATTACTTATATGTTAGGTTTGGATGTTAAATCACCAAGCACTGTTGTTTTACATTTTTTATTAGTTTTTAGTATAATGAAATTTGGGGCAAAAAGTATGAATTCAAAATTAGATTTTTCTCATCTTATTAAAGTCGTAAAATATTATCAACTAATAATTTTAACTTCTCTAAAAAGTATGAAAACAAGTACAGGAAGAAAACTCACTTATAATTAAATAAAATAGAGACAGAGAAAAATTTATATGCAGAAATTATAAACTATAAAATTATGTTTATTTATGCCAAAATACATGTACTTATATGTTGAAAATTTTATGTGAATACTGACAAATTATAAGTTATGAGATTATAATTTTTAATTTAGAGATAACTTCTGTCTGTAAATTACTGTTCTGCTGTAAATTTAATTGTATTCACAATAAAACTGAAGTTCCTAACTCTGATTATCAGATAATGTATTCAGTAATAAAATACATGAGGGCAGTGAAACCAAGATTTGTGCAAATAGATAAAAATCACCAGTAGCTCACAAAATGCATTTTATGTCTTTCTTCTTTAGGGCTACTAATAAGAAAACAAAACTATTGAAGAAAAGGGGTGCTCTTCACATGTGAGGCTGATGTCACAGATAACGCCACCAGGAAGGCATCAACAAAGGTCATCCCATAAAATCCCCTTGTGCGAATCCACACACATTCTCACACCAAGAACACCCCGTGTACGAATCCACACACATTCTCACACCAAGAACACCCCGTGTGCGAATCCACACACATTCTCACACCAAGAACACCCCGTCTGCGAATCCACACACATTCTCACACCAAGAACACCCCGTGTGCGAATCCACACACATTCTCACACCAAGAACACCCCGTGTGCGAATCCACACACATTCTCACACCAAGAACACCCCGTGTGCGAATCCACACACATTCTCACACCAAGAACACCCCGTGTGCGAATCCACACACATTCTCACACCAAGAACACCCCGTGTGCGAATCCACACACATTCTCACACCAAGAACACCCCGTGTGCGAATCCACACACATTCTCACACCAAGAACACCCCGTGTGCGAATCCACACACATTCTCACACCAAGAACACCCCGTGTGCGAATCCACACACATTCTCACACCAAGAACACCCCGTGTGCGAATCCACACACATTCTCACACCAAGAACACCCCGTGTGCGAATCCACACACATTCTCACACCAAGAACACCCCGTGTGCGAATCCACACACATTCTCACACCAAGAACACCCCGTGTGCGAATCCACACACATTCTCACACCAAGAACACCCCGTGTGCGAATCCACACACATTCTCACACCAAGAACACCCCGTGTGCGAATCCACACACATTCTCACACCAAGAACACCCCGTGTGCGAATCCACACACATTCTCACACCAAGAACACCCCGTGTGCGAATCCACACACATTCTCACACCAAGAACACCCCGTGTGCGAATCCACACACATTCTCACACCAAGAACACCCCGTGTGCGAATCCACACACATTCTCACACCAAGAACACCCCGTGTGCGAATCCACACACATTCTCACACCAAGAACACCCCGTGTGCGAATCCACACACATTCTCACACCAAGAACACCCCGTGTGCGAATCCACACACATTCTCACACCAAGAACACCCCGTGTGCGAATCCACACACATTCTCACACCAAGAACACCCCGTGTGCGAATCCACACACATTCTCACACCAAGAACACCCCGTCTGCGAATCCACACACATTCTCACACCAAGAACACCCCGTGTGCGAATCCACACACATTCTCACACCAAGAACACCCCGTGTGCGAATCCACACACATTCTCACACCAAGAACACCCCGTGTGCGAATCCACACACATTCTCACACCAAGAACACCCCGTGTGCAAATCCACACACATTCTCACACCAAGAACACCCCGTGTGCAAATCCACACACATTCTCACACCAAGAACACCCAATTTTAAGGCAGCTGGTAAGGGTTTGAACATCAGTGTCCAACCACAGAACAAGTCCACCTGGAGTGGATGGCCATGACTTTGGCCTCATAGGCTGTAGGACAAACCCTGATCTCTATTTGCCAGCCTTGGGCAAACCAAGGTCTGGAACTTGGTCCTTTCTCCTCACCCAAAGATGGTCTCCAGCACCAGTGAATTTGGACAATGCCTCTCACTGTCTCGGTCACACAGGAACTGCAAGAACTAACAGCAATGATGTAAACACAGCGTGGTTGCCACCAGTGTAGTCGGGTCTGTGGAGCAGTAAAATTTCCCTACAGTGCAAGATGGGAAGGAAAGTCCAGGTAGCATTACACACCAGTCGGTGGAACTCATACCTGCCCAGTGATCTTACATCCTTAACAACGGAACAAACATCTTTGTATGTGCCAGGAACTCCAGTCATCTAGAAAACCTAGTCCTGTAATTCTGATGGTGTCTTATAATTTCAACCATGTTTATTTAAAGTAAATATTATGCTTTCTCTTATTTCAAAGTGACCATTTGGTCCTTTCCTTGGTACTGACACTTGAGACAGATCACGGAAGTGATTTCTAATCTGCTCTCCACTTGCTGTGAATTGGAGAGGTCAGAGGCAGGACAGAAGGAACGCCCCCTCACCTGCTACCCCACCCACCACAGCACAATGTATCCCAGGAATAAGCAAGTTGAATGAGATTAGGAAGTGAAACATTAGGGTGCCTGGAATATCAGAGTAACCCTAAAATGTACAAATTCACAAAGAGACCTAACTACCTCAATTTCAACAGGCTAGAAAATGACGAGATAGGCTGCCGGCTATACCATAACGATGCTATACGGACAGGATCATTAACAGTACTGAAAGCCTGTTTCACAGCACTATGCCTGACACTCTGTGTGGAGTAGATGGAACTGAGGAAAGAGCTGACGTCAGCACGTACCCCTCTCAAGAGCAACTGTCAGTATCTCTTCACCTCCAAGCTGAGTTGGCAGCTTGAAACCAACCCCAATGGGAGTATTTACACCTTGGAAATTGGGAAATGCTAATATTAGGTTAATTTTTTCTATCTTCTTCTTTTTTTTTTTGAATGCATGTTGTGAAATATTTGCCAGCCAGCCACTGAGCAAACGTCAGTTTCTTTTCCACATCCTGGCCCTTCTGGATATTCCCTAGTGTTCCAAATCCTTAGCATTCTTCTTTCATTTTGCACGTGGTACTTGGGTTAAATCATTCAATCCTGTTTGTCCAACTACCATCTTTATGCTGGTGACTCCCAAATCTGTGTTTCAAGATGTGTTTGCGAGCGTAAGACCAATCCTTAAAAATATTTTCACTAGACATGCAATAATGATAGCTAATAATGACAGGAATATTTTCACTGGACATACAATAATGACAGCTAATAACGACAGGAAGCACTGATGCTATGCCAGGTGTGATTCGAAAACCCTCATGGGTATTAGTTCACCTGCACATGGTTATGTCGCTGTAAGACAGGCACTGTTTTTACCCCCGTTTTATGTTGGAGGCAACTGAGACACAGAGGTTATTCAAGTTGCCCAGTGTGACATCATGGGGACATAGTGAGAGCTAGCAAAACCCATCAGCACGACCCTCAGGAATCTCAAATTCAACATGTTGAACTGAATGTTCTCATCTCTATGCCTCTCCTTATGCGCCAAACGTGCTCCTTCATCCATCTGAGGCCAGACATCTGTAAATCACCAATGACTACTTCCTTTTCCCTATGTAACATGTCAAACCTTCCCTGTCCCTTCACCTTTCTCACCTGCCACTCGCTCTACCTTCACTAGCAGCCACGTCACCCTCACGTTACTTTATTCCATTACTACACACATTACTGCTGACCTGGCTTAACATGCCTACCGTCCACTTCTGGCTGCTCTCCTCTTGCCTCTGGCGTACCTCCCTTCTCGTCCATTCTCTATACAGATGGCAGATTGCTCTTTAAAAATCTCCTATCGTTCTGTTAAACTTCTGCGATGGCTCACTATTTGTCTTCAGAATAAAGACAGATTCCACACTACTGCACAGCCAGTTCGTCAGGGGCAGACCTCGTCTACCCTGCGGCCACACCTCTCCTATCTGCACACAGCCACACTGGACCCTGCTTCCTGGGCTGCGGCCTATCTCCTCTCTGAACTCACGCGCTGGCCCTGCGGGGACACACCTGCCTCCCTCCACTCAGCCACCCACCGCTGGCCTCTGCTTGTCTCTGAACTCACGCGCTGGCCCCGCGGGGACACACCTGCCTCCCTCCACTCAGCCGCCCACCGCCGGCCTCTGCTTGTCTGGGTACTTCCTGCTCCTCTCTTAAGGCTCCTGTGTCCTCCCCTGGTATTCTCTGCACTCAACTTTTTGGCTTGCTTCCCCTTTTGTGGGCTGTAGCCACACCTGAGGACTCCCACCAGAGCAGTATTATCAAACCATCATTTGATCACCTGAATATGTGTATTTTCCATTCAGTTATAATCTCTAGAAGTAAAGTACAAGTTTTATTTTTATATCCCTAGGATAAAACAAACATGTGCTCAATAAATGCTTACAGAGGAAGGACTAAAAATTGCTGTCTGAATCAATGACCAGTATTCTTACTACTCAGAGAGGTGGTACAACACCCCATGGGCAGGCCTGGCTTTGCACAGTGTGCAGGGCTATGACAGGGGCTGTGCAAGCTAAAATCCAGCAAGACCATCTAATAATCAATGGGAAAATTACATTTGTTCTGTGATATCCAAAAACGTTTGTTGAAACATTAAAAACTCACTTATTGTTGGTTACGAATGAATAACAATTTTTTAAAGTACAACTAATATTTAATATACAATTTAAAACATCAGAGATTCAACTTCTTCCTGGTTTAGACTTGGGAGGGTGTATGTGTCCAGGAATTTATCCATTTCTTCTAGATTTTCTAGTTCATTTGCGTAGAGGTGTTTATAGTATTCTCTGATGGTAGTTTGTATTTCTGTGGGATCGGTGGTGATATCCCCTTTATCATTTTTTATTGCATCTATTTGATTCTTCTCTCTTTTCTTCTTTATTAGTCTTGCTAGCGGTTTATCAAGTTTGCTGATCTTTTCAAAAGCCAGCTCCTGGATTCACTGATTTTTTGAAGGGTTTTTTGTGTCTCTATCTCCTTCAATTCTGCTCTGATCTTAGTTATTTCTTGCCTTCTGCTCGCTTTTGAATGTGTTTGCTCTTGCTTCTCTAGTTCTTTTAATTGTGATGTTAGGGTGTCAATTTTAGATCTTTCCTGCTTTCTCTTCTGGGCATTTAGTGCTATAAATTTCCCTCTACACACTGCTTTAAATGTGTCCCAGAGATTCTGGTATGTTGTGTCTTTGTTCTTGTTGGTTTCAAAGAACATCTTTATTTCTGCCTTCATTTTGTTATGTATCCAGTAGTCATTCAGGAGCAGGTTGTTCAGTTTCCATGTAGTTGAGCAGTTTTGAGTGAGTTTCCATCAATGACAGACTGGATTAAGAAAATGTGGCACATATACACCAGGGAATACTATGCAGCCATAAAAAAGGAAGAGTTCGTGTCCTTCGTAGGGACATGGATGAAGCTGGAAACCATCATTCTCAGCAAACTATCACAAGGACAAAAAACCAAACACCGTATGTTCTCACTCATAGGTGGGAATTGAACAATGAGAACACCTGGACACAGGAAGGGGACCATCACACACTGAGGCCCGTCGTGGAGTTGGGGGAGGGGGAAGGGATAGCATTAGGAGATATACCTAATGTAAATGACGAGTTAATGGGTGCAGCACACCAACATGGCACATGTATACACATGTAACAAACCTGCACGTTGTGCACATGTACCCTAGAACTTAAAGTATAATAATAAAAAAAAGAATCTCCACATCACAAGAAAAAAAATAAAAAATAAAACATCAGAAACATTTAAAATTAAAGCGTCATATTTCTTTGTAGAAAAACTTATCAAGAGTGTTTGCCTTCTTTTTTGTTGTAATATTTACAATATGAATCAAGCCTCTTTTCTGTGCTCTGACAGATTATCCTGCTCCTTTCTAAGCGTGAATCAACTTCTGATATTTTTTCCTTTGCACCGTCCACATCATGAAACATCTCTGAGGTTCTCTGAGCATTGCTTCCTTTGGGACATCTCATGCTTTTCTTCACATTTGCTCACCTTTGTTGGGAAGTTCCCCTCCACTGAGTTACTCTTGAGTCTCAAAGACAGGAGGACCTACATCCCCACAGCCAGCTATTCCTTCCGTCACTCTCCATTTGGTGGATTTGCGTTTCACTTCCAGTGTTAGAGCTTCCTGGTTTTTGATGCACTTTCATCTTTATCGACCAATCCCTTCCCGATCATCCATTTTTGTAAAATGTCAGGAGGGTTTGTCACTGGGAGATAAGGAGGTAGCACAACTGCACACTTTGCTGTCTGCTGAGAACTGGTAACAGACGTACAGTGACTATCGCTGGTGGCCTTGAAGGAGGCAGTGTGGCTGATCATCCAGAGCACCTGTCATTTACACAGCGACGTGTGAATTAAAGGGCTGGAGGGGAACTGTACTTTATGCAGCTATGGTGACTGCCCTGTGGGAACCGCAGTTCTCCACGGTGTTGCTGGGGGACGGCTGTCATGAACTGAACCGTGATGACTGAAACCTGCGCCTATCAAAACCACACACACAGCACGGCCTGCCTGCAGTTCAAAGCACAAGTCTGGAGCCATATTTCTGGATATAAATTGCAGCTCTGCTACTTACTACTTACATAACCTTACATGGCTCAATTAATCTTCTGGGCTTTAGTTTTTTTCATCAATAAAGCGAAGATAACAGCACAAACCTCAAAGTGTTGTTGTGAGGACTAAATATACCTAGATAGTTTCGAGCAACACCTGCCCTGCAGTAGGCCCTCCACAAGCGTGAGCTACGACTGCCACAGCTACTGCTACAAATACTTACACAGCATGTCTACACCTGCACTGTCTAACACAGTAACTACCAGCCACACGGGACTATTTCAATTTAAAGCAGAATTAATTAAAATTAAATAAAAATTTAAAACTCAATTCCTCAGTTGTACTAGTCACATTGGAAGTGCTCAGTAGCTACATTTTCATCATTGCAGAAATTCTATTGAACAATGCTGTTCTATATATTTGAAACAGGTAAGAACACAGAGTTGAATATGCAAATTTGATGTAAATAAACTAATAGTCATCATTGGCTTGAAATCAAGAATAAGTTATTAAGTTCAAACACAGACATGAGAAACACATATCATGAAAACAAAAAACAATTTCTTTTTTTTAACAATTTCAAAAGAAAGTGTCAAAACTGATAAACTCTGAATAAATGACCTAAGTTTCCTGCAGCCAACAGTATCCTTTAGAAACTTAGCTTAAAAGTCAGAAAGATTGCCCAATTTAAAAAAAAATCTTTTAAAAAAACTGAAGAAATATCCATATACATTAGTATATAATTATACATCAGGTAAAAAGCATTAGTAATCATCTAAGTGAAGTAAATGACACTCATACTCATTTATGCTTTCCTTCCTTTCTACAACAAAATAAATTCAATTTTCAACAGAACTGACTGAATCTTTGTGACTTTAGTTCTGTTTTCACCAGTTCTGCAGTACTGAAGTCTGATAACTACGAACCCGCCTGGGCGGGACTCTCTCGGGGCCAGAGCTGCATCCCCTCCGGCTTTGCTCCCAGGCTGGCTTAGCACGGGGCTTGACACAACCAGAGTTAAATAAACGTCTGTCAAGTTGACCTGAATTAGGAAAAACATATCCTAAGACAGCAATCAACATCATGTTGTTAAAAAATGTTTCTAGAAAAGGGGGAATTGTTATAAAGAAATGTATTTTAGGGAAATTTTAATAGCAAAAAGTCCTGACGAATGGTCTCATAAAGAAGTGACCATTTATATTAAGCTGAACTTTATCCAAAAAGAGCAAACTTCAATAGAAAGTTAATACGACACTTTTCTGGAAAAAAAAATTCATGGTTATAAAGGAATATATGGAAAAAGGCAATTTTTAATACCCCAAGTCCCAAGGGACGATTTCTCAAACTACTGCTTCAAAGAAATAAAAAAAATCACATTACCACACTATGGTAAGCCTAACACATGAAACAGACCCTAGAATTTCCCAAACCGGAACAAGGATCTCCTTCTCTGATACCATCATATACTTACTATGTCAACTGTTCCTATAAGCCACCTTTTTAAAATTACTGAAGTAAACATGTTTTTTATACAGATATCATAGTTTGATAACTTCTCCAGGGCAAATAACATCCTTGAGTAGAAAATATCCTTCCAAGATCTTAAAATGTCTGACTATGCTAATATAGAAACAGCTTCAATAAGTGTTTGAGTTAAATTCAGAATATCTTCATTTTAACAACATTGGTGACTTGGTTCTCAAAGATAAAAACAAGGGAAGATCTCAGGGCAATTAAGTAATAATAATCAGAGGAAAAAATTAAGTGCTGTTAAATTCCTAAATTTAGAATGAAATCCAAGTCCTCAAATGCTACTACCAAGAGAACACTTCTTTCTAGAAAATGCTTTCTTTTAGGGATCACTCAGGTTTGTGAAAAGATATTCACATACAGGCTCAGAACGTTCCACCCACGGGACTCACTTAAGCCGGAAGGGCAAAACTAGCTTCACATCACAGCCTTAAATTCACAGAATTTTTAAAGATCTGGTGTGAGGTTTTTTCATTCTTCCAATGATTCTTAACTCTACTTCCTGATGAGATTGTACATTATATTTAAACCTAAGGAGATGCCCATGGGCATTCCTATCAAATGTAAACTATAGTTGTGAAAAGATTTATTTTAAATGACTTATTTTTAAGCCACTAACATCATAGTAAGGATTAATTCATCTGATCACTTTCTTCTAAATCAGCAGGATAAGTAGCTGGGACCTAGGACATCAGAAAAAGGACAGACAAGGGACGTGGACAGAACTCAAAACTTTGCACATAGCCATTTTCCCTGGGCCTATAATTTTTACAAAATATCTCAGATTTAGACACCTTCTTAAATAGCCAGCTGCCTTAAATTCTTTTTTAGAAAAAGGCAAGTTATACACAAATAAATGACCCCTAAGAATCTGTTACTCTTGTGGCTGAGGTTATTTGCATTAATGCTGGGAGACGCCTGATGATGGCTCCTCCACGTTGCTGGTCAGTGACAATCCTGGCTACTGCTTCAGTGCTTTCCTCGCTTTGAAGATGCTGTTTATATGCTGGTTGGTTTTAGGGTAGGAAACTTTATTTCTTAAGAAGTATATTGGATTGTTTTCAAATTATGATTTCTCATAAATAAAATGCAAGCAGAAACAGAACATTCATTTTCAATGTTTCTATTCTCCTTTGTGTTCATTAAATCACTACTATTTAGAAATAAATAGTAAAATGCAACTTACTGCCTTGTCCCGCGATATCAGGTCCAAGAACTAATTTTAAAGCATGTTGTAAAATCCATAAATAGTTCTGGGTAGTAGGACAAAACTTACTGTTCAGAACATTCTCCAGTTTCTGCGTCATGGATCCTTCTACTTTTTCCGTTCCATCTGCTTCTAGTTTTTGATGGATGGCTAGAAAAAAAAATCTAGTTAAAATGTAGGCCATTTTAATGGGTGGAGATACATTAAATCAAAATGATATTTTTAAACAGCTTTTTAAAATGGTCATATTATTTTCACTGCTGAAAAGCAGCAAAAACATGCTACCCTGTACAAGGTACCCAGCAGACACCAGTCTAAGTTATTCACAGTTTAACACTATTAAAATAGTACCTAACACACATAATCATCTGTCTTCAAGAACAAGTGGTAAAAACAGTTGAATTGAAAAAGAAAAGGGAGACTTGAGGCATCCTGGGTCTCATTACACAGGTTGAGTATCTCCAATCCGAAAATCCAAAATGCTCCAAAATCTGAAACTTGAAGCACTCACATGACATTCAAAGGAAATGTTCATTGGAGCACTTCACATTTCAGATGTTCAGATTTGGGATGTTCAACCAGTAACTAGGTAATGCAAATATTTAAAAATCTGAAAAAATCTGAAATCTGAAACATTGCTGGGTCCCAAGCATTTCAGATAATTGGTCAGAAAATTCTGAGTAAATTCGGTTCTCAAATGCACTATGAATACACACTCAATGCCTGCTAATATCTATCTCTCTGCTCCTTTTAGTTTCTAATTATGATCTTGTTATTTTTCATCTTTTTTTCTTTCTGTAAGCCACCTCAAATTTTCTTTGAAATTCTAAAATAAACAGACTGCTCCTCTATCAAAGAAACACATTCAGAGAAAGAAGGAGTATATTTGGGGAAGAACCCAGCTACTGCAGTTGAATTGTCTTGGTTGACTTGGAGTGAGGAGAAAGTAATTTCTGTAATGTTTCAAAATTTGAATTGTGTGGTAACAGTGACATAAGATGTTTCTACATACCAAAGCTGAAACTGGGGTTCAACTTACTAAGTGAAACGGAAAGGAACTTCCTTCCCTCTCTGTAAGGAAAGGAGATGGACTATGCCTAAGCATTAGAAAGCTGAAACGGAAAGGAACTTCCTTCCCTCTCTGTAAGGAAAGGAGATGGACTATGCCTAAGCATTAGAAAGCTAAACTGGAAAGACTTCCATGCTGCATGTGTGCAGATCTGCTCTCCCTCTTGGTTTAAATGCTGCTGTGATGTTCTGATAGTCCTGGCTGAGAAGGACACCTGGCACCCACTGCAGCTGCACCGAGTGGGCACCCACTGCAGCTGCAATGAACAGACACTGCGCTGAGATGTCACACCCCACAGTAGCCCTGCTCCACAGGTTGCTTTCTAAGTCAAAATTAGCATTAAAGGAAATCATGTAGCCACATTTTCTGATGCTGACAAAACCCATCACTGATGAGCAGGTCAAGATGAGGTGACCCTGGCCCCCCGGCTCAGTTTACAGCCCTTTTTGCTGACAGACTAACTTCCTCCGCCCATCTCCACCACAGCAGAGCCACTGCCAAGCTGTCAGCCAAGCATGAGGACTGAGAGACACTGGGATCTGATAAAGGCAATCCTATTTTCCAGAAAATTAAACCAAATAACCCAATGTCTGGTTCACTTGACCTTTTATTTTCTCTGAAAACATCTTTAAGTAGAATAACTCAATAAGCAACTTGGTACATGATCATAGGTTTGTTATTGTTTCTAATCTATTAAAACTTAAATATGTGAAGCAGTTGAACATTATAAGTTTGTATTTGAGAAACAAAAAAAAGTATGTACAACAGTACTTCTCAAAGAAAAATCAAGGTTATAGAAAGACTGCCTATTACTTCACTACAATTATTTGATCATTTTAACACTCAAATAAAATGTAGATATCAAATTTGCAATTACAATAAGAAATTCATAATATCCATCCATGCATTTATGTAAATATCATTGTTAAACGAGGCACCAAGGAATAATGTCTGTGTAGGGTAGTATCTAAAGGATCCAGTGTTGGGCACAGAAGTATGTATATGCTCTAACCAATCTATGTTAATGCTAGCCTGTGTGAGACAGGAATATTCAAGCCGGATGACAGATGAGCAAACTATTGCTATGAAGAACCAAACAGTCAACACTTTAGGCTTTGTGGGCCACATACGGCCTCTATCACATATTCTTCTTTTTTTGTTTTTAGCATGGGAAAACACAGCCATGCTTAGCTCCCGGCCTGTACAAAGGCTGTGGCCTAATTTGGCTCACATGCTGACCTCTGAGTAGGATTATATTTACTAAAGTAGGAGAAGAGGAAGGGTTAGTGTAAGATGCATTAATATTTTAAATTGATAGAGAGCCCTTCAAACATTTAGTTTCTATTTCTTATTTTACCAAACTTTTATCAGAGTAGACAAATCATATATAAATTATATTTAAACTGGTTACGTAATCTGTGGTTCCTTTTCTTCCCAAATTATACTAAAGAAAATAAACAAACAGTAAAATAATTGCAACTATTACACAGAAGAGTAACAGGAATGATTCTCACTTAGATAACTGAGTCCCAGAAAATGATACCTACCTGAATTATCTTCATACATCAATAGACACTAACAACAGAATGTGTCAAAAAATCAATTACGGCTCAAGCCACACAGAGTTAAGCAGCAGCAATAAAAGGAACAGGGGAAGGAAGACAAATAAGACAGAGCGCAGGGAGGAACATGCGTAATTTAGTCTGTTTCGGCTTTTTACCCCAGTGTACCATAACGAATATTCACTCACACAGTTTTGACCCACAGTTGTTCTTGAAAGGGGCAAGTGATAATGCTGGACTTGCCGCTAAAAACAAGAGATTATACAGGTCACTAAATGCACAAGCTCAAGGGGCATTCAGGGAAATCGCCACCAAAACAAAGGAGGTGCCCAGAGGCACCAAGGAGCTCAGGAAGGCCTTTCACACTACAAACAGCTCCAGGAACCTCACCACCACCCAGGAGGACCAGCGTGAGCAGTATCTGCTAACAACCCACAGGTCACTCCCACTTCAAGGGAACAGAAGGGAATGACAGAGGGAAGGCCATGGCAAAATGAAGTCTGGTGCTAGAAACATTTTTGCAGAATAAAGAAAAAAAACTGTACTAAACATACCAAGGTTGCTATTGGCAGGTGTTATGCCAGACACACTTCTTGTCAAGTTCTAATTAAAATACCTGTGGGGACACACAGGAAGAAACAAAACCGACAATGGCATAAAAACTTAAGGATGAACAAAAGCTACTAATGGAATACCGGGTTGGGATGGACTGAAAAAAACCAGACTTGGACTGGGTATGAAATAGTCCACTGGATGGAACTGAAGAATGCAGATGATGTAAAAAAAAGAAAGAAAGAAAGAAAAAAACAACAAAAAAAGAGCAGAGAAGGGCTCTGATTTGTACCTGTCCCCTGTGCCCAACACTGGAACACAAGGATGGCACAGACCAGAAACATTTTCCAATGTTTCCATAACCATCTTCAGGACTACAGTTCTGTTCCCCCATTTTTCTTAACCACACAGCTCGTTTCCTTTGATAACCATTTGGAGAACAATTTCCCCACATCCCAGAATGGCAGGAAAACAGAAGGAAACCGGGAGGAGGCATCCACTGCTGGTCAACTCAGAGCAAAGGCTCTCAGAATAGTATTTGGATAGCATCAGGAGATATACCTAATGTTAAATGATGAGTTAATGGGTGCAGCACACCAACATGGCACATGTATACATATGTAACAAACCTGCACGTTGTGCACATGTACCCTAAAACTTAAAGTATAATTTAAATAAATAAATAAATAAAATAAAATAATAAAAAATAAAAATCCTGCCACATGTAGCAACACAAGACACATGCCAAAAGAAAAATTTCTAAAAGGTTACAAAGAATATTACAAATAATATATCAAGCCAATGTATATAAAAGGAAGGGTATAAAATATTAATATCATGTTATTATGCACCAAAGAATTTAATCTTGCCCCCCAAAAGGTCTGGCCTTTGTCCTTAGGTCCTGGGAGGTAATCTCTAAACTCTTGAAATGTTCTGCCTGATAAGAGTGTCTTTGTTTGCCTGTGGACCACGGGCCACACTAGATAATCTAACAATGGAATTTACGGTGAGGACTTAGGGTCACTCAATATCAGCCTGATCTGAGGGAATGAAGATTGAAGTCGGCCTTGACCATGTCCATGTGACGGGGCCGTACTACAGACTCCGGATCTGGACAACAAGGTTTGGGGAGCTTCCTTGGCTGCAAGTACTCCATGTGTGTGTCACGGACTGTTACCAGGAAAGTCAGTGCTGCCTGCAATTCCACTGGGAGACTACTGGAAGCTCCATGGATGAAAATTTCCTAGACCTGCTCCATGAATCTCTATCCCTGGCTGACTATAACCTGTAATTTCCCTGTAATGAACCATAAGTCTGAGTACAACAGCTTTCACTGAGTTCTGTGAGTCCTTCTAGCAAAACACCAAACTGAGGGTAATCTTGGGGACTACTTATAAATATATTATCATCAAGAGAATCTAAACCATCAAAAGTGACAAAGTAAATACATGCTTTACATATGAAGAAAAGCCGACAGAATCCAAATTAAAGAAAGAGATTTGTCTGTCATGTTTAATATAAATAAGCTATATTTAAATAATATAATCAATCAGGCATTGATACTATATCAAATAGTGGACCCTGAAGAAACCACATCCGTCCGTCCTTTTTAATTTTTGGCATACTTACAAAAACTTAAATATATATTAAGAAACATATTCTCTGTTCACAATACTATGAGAACAGAGACTATGAAAACAAAAATTTACTAAAAACTACTAAGGAGGAAAATTACAATACACATTTTAAAAACACAAAAAAGATATCTCTGAAGAATCAATGTTAAAAAAATCACACAGAACATACAAATACTAAACAGATAACGAAAGGGCCTATAACATGAATTTTAAATGATTTAAAAATTAGAATGCAATGCTAATAAAACATGAAAATCTTAATAGAGAATTTCAGGGAAAACAAACCAAAATAAAGCAGAGACAGTAGAGGTTTGAAAAGTATATGTGGGTGTGGGTGTGTGTGTGTGTGTGTGTGTGTGTGTATGTATGTGTATACATACATATTTATCTATCTGTCTCACCTGTTCGTTCCCAGTCCCCCCTTGAAGCTACTGATCCACTGCAGTGTCTGTTCAGGAGACCCCAGACACGAATGCACTCCTGCCTGGTGTGATGAAACAGGAAGCACAGCACTATCCATGCCTAAAAGTGTTGAAAGTGAATCTTATCTAATATCCAATTAGATGAGTCCAAGCAATTTAATGGCAAGAAAAATAAGTTAAATGACACCACAAGGAAGTCATCAGTCAAATTCAGAGTGGGGGATATCTTCCAGGACAAATGACCTTGTTTCTTCAACAAATCAATAGCATGAAAAACCAGAAACAGGCTGGGCGTGGAAATTAGCTGGGCGTGGTGGTGGGCACCTGTAATCCCAGCTACTTGGGAGGCTGAGGCAGGAGAATCATGTGAACCCAGGAGGCAGAGGTTGCAGTAAGCTGAAATCGCACCACCGCACTCCAGCCTGGGCAACAGAGTGAGACTCCATCTCAAAAGAAAAAAAAAAAAAAAGAAAAACCAGAAACAGGGTAAGAAAGGTGAGGGGATGGTTTTAGTTTAAAAGAGGCTTAAGAGATTTAAAAATTAAGTGAAATGCCTGAATTTTATTTGAATCTTGATTTGGACATATCACCTATAAAAATAAAGTTTGGGGATAATTTGAGAAATCTGAACTGGGAATGAGATGATATTAAACAATTATTGCCAATTTGGTTAACTATGATAATATCATTGTGATTATGCACATAAATGTCCTTGCCCTTACTTGGGAGATTATACTTTCATCTCCACTTTTCACATTTCAAAATTTTCATAACAGAAAAGTAAAAACAACTTACCCGAGCAACTTTACATATCAGCTCTGTCAAATTTGAACCATGTAATTCCTAGTCTACATAGTCCACTGACAATAGTGGATCTCTCTGTGTTGCTCTATGTGCTGTCAGTGGTAATTTAGAGAGAAGAGCAATAAGCACAAATAAAGAATGGCACACCATCAAGAAACATAAGGCACACATATTTATCAGGAAGAGCACCTACCTTCTCTGTTCCCTCTTAGACATTCACATTTTACCCCTTCAAAAACCTAACTTCTGCCGGGCGCGGTGGCTCACGCCTGTAATCCCAGCACTTTGGGAGGCCGAGGCGGGCGGATCACGAGGTCAGGAGATCGAGACCATCCTGGCTAACACGGTGAAACCCCGTCTCTACTAAAAATACAAAAAATTAGCCGGGCGCAGTGGCGGGCGCCTGTAGTCCCAGCTCCTCGGGAGGCTGAGGCAGGAGAATGGCGTGAACCCGGGAGGCGGAGCTTGCAGTGAGCTGAGATCGCGCCACAGCACTCCCGCCTGGGCGACAGAGCGAAACTCCGTCTCAAAAAAAAAAAAAAAAAAAAACTAACTTCTACCTGCAAGGAAGAAGCTGCATCACATACACTGCATCACATACACATTTAATGTGTTGGAGGTCAATTAAGTATATATGGCACAGGAAGAGGGGGGCTTATTTATTTATTTATTTATTTAATTTATTTAGAGATGGGGTCTCGCTCTGTCACCAGGCTGGAGTGCAGTGGCGCGATCTCGGCTCACTGCAACCTCCGCCTCCCACGCTCAAGCAATTCTCCAGCCTCAGCCTCCCAAGGAGCTAGGACTACAGGTATGCACTACGCCTGGCTAATTTTTTGTATTTTTAGTAGAGAGGGAGGAGGGGGACTTTTAAAATAATAAAAGAATGTCTATACTTTAGGAATAAAAATAATTTTTAAAATTTACCTTCCTGAATTGAAGAAGATGTGGCCTCAATGCATGGTTAGAGTTATGGATACTTAAGCTATATGGGTATTTAGTTTTAAGTATCTTAGCTATTAAAAAGAATTGAGTTAACTTTTATTGATATAGATTACTTTTTACTAAATAGCAATAATTAAACTTTCATTAATTAAAAGCAGTTTTATAAAAAAAAAACTCTACCAACATCTTGCATTAAAATGTCTAAAGCTATGACATCTGTACTCCATACAACGTCCCTCCCATACACAGATGGCACAGTGACAGCTACCTGCGTGCATACGTGGGCGCCTGTGCGATAAGGGCTGAAGAGACTGGTATCCTATCATCAGCCTTTCCAAAGTGAACACACAATGGGTTGCATTTATAGAATTAGTCACATATGTAAGATATTGGTGGTTGTGCATTGGGATTTAATTTCGTATCAGCCCTGGAGTGTGGACATCACAGAGAGTTAAAGTAGTCTCCCATTTCACACATGTAAGATGGGTTAACAAAAGCCTCAGAGATAAATTTTTAAAGTACCAAGTCTTCAAAGAGATGCCAGCCTACTCTGCAACAAATATTTATAGCACATTTGAGATCTCTACTTTGATAAAAACAGACCGAGTGTCACACCCTGTAAACACCCTGCAGGCAGTGCCGGGTTTCCATGGCGGAAGCTGCCAGCAGATGGCTCTGAGGATCGCCTTACCTGAGAGGGCATCCTGTGCTTCGAAGAATGTACTGAGACCGCCTTTCACATAGGCCAGGCTGCCCTCACTCTTCTTGTTAGCCTGTCTCTTTAGGTTGGTGACTGCCATTTTGAGCTGCTCAAAACTGAAATGAAATAAAGAAACCAAAGTTTGACACTTCTAACATGCAAGAAAGAAAAAATAATTCCTTCAGTGGAGAACACTAAATATGCTAAAACCGATGCTAAGTAGCACACAGATTAATATCATACGAAGCCAGATGAAATCAAAAAGCTTTCAAATTGTTGCGTAGATCTAAACCTTTTATTTATTATGAATGCCTAAATTACAACAGCTACAAGACTTTCGGAGCCCTCGATGGTAATTCCAAATACATTAGACCCCTAAGAAGTAAATGTGTAGATGTTTTTATAACCTATATATAATATATACAATTTACCAGATAAAGAGTTTTGAACATCCTGTACTAGGTAAGAAGACACAGATCATCCAGTGATAGACAACATTTCAAAGATGGAACTGCTTTGTACATTCACTGAAGCATTGTGGAACACTAAGCATAATGTTATACTTATCAGTATCCAGTCCTCTGTCCTTAGTCATAAAATTACATGAATCCTGTGGGTCGATTCACAACTTAAATAACTAGGAAGACCACAATATCTCATCTCAATATCTAAAGCAGAGAAAACTAAAGACAGGCCTCTGTATTTCAGAAGTTTTATGTCCATTTGAGCTAAGAAAATCCGGCTATAAAACTTTAAACGTATTCTTGATAGACCTACACAAGAAACAGAGCTCAATTCTGACTTATAATAATAGAAATTCTACATCTGTAATGTAAAATCAGAATCATCTTCTACAATGAAAAAATTCATCTTGGACATTTGCTTTAAAAAGCAATCAGGTTAAATTTACCCTATGTATTAAAATGCCAACCTTTCCTCATCTTGGACATTTGCTTTAAAAAGCAATCAGGTTAAATTTATCCTGTGTATTAAAATGCCAACTTTTCCTGATGTTTTCTAGTAATGCTTTTCACCCTAATAAATGAATGAAACATTTATATTAAGGTATATTTTAACACACTAATTTATCAATAATTTAAGTTTTAAGCAATAAACCATTGATTTATCCAAACATTTTTTGCTGAATATAATTATTTTAAATCAATCTTGCAAATAAGCTACAAACTTGCTCTTGTACAGAGTAAAATGTAATTAGAAGACAGAAGGGAACCTTCAAATTGGATATATGACCTTGTCTACTTTTTTGCTAATTTTAAGCCAGGTCCTTACATGATGATAAACCAACTCATCTTCCTTTGCCCTATGGTCAGAGAAGGCAGTGTGTTCCATGTTTTACCCCAGAACTTAAAATTTTTATGTTATTTGAGTAGGGAGAGATCACATTCATACATGTCAGTTTAAGTCCCCAGCTAAGGCTCCATAAATTTTTAATAACCTGCATCAATAATGAAATATATTGAACATAAAATGACAGTAGGAAATGAGAGACCTCTAAAGAATCATCCCATTGCACAAACAGGGAAACAGACACCCTGAGATGTTCACGGGTAAACGCAAAGTCAAAGAGCTCGCAGACCTAAAACCATGTAACTGTATGCAGAGCCAGACCTAAAACTCGAGTTACCGTGTAATTCCATCTTTAGCATCTGAGTGAAACCCTTCACAGTTGACAGTCCCATATCCACTAACCTGGTGTTTGAGTGATTCTCTATAAGATACCAGGCTGCTGAGAAATTCTCACTTGTAAAATCAGCACTCATTCCATGGAATAGCATTTCTAAGTCCTTCTGCGAAAATTTACTTCTGAGGGGAAAAAACGTTTAAAATATATTTCAATGGTTATTATGACAAAAATGGAAAAGGTATCACTAAGTATCCAGTATAACACATATGAATACTAACCATTACAACAATACATATTAATCATACATTACCCAGAACATGTTTGTATATATGTACAAAATATATTTCCCACATCATGGCTGATTTTTCTATCACTTAAACTTTGATTTTATATAGAAAAGATAGGAAACTAGTTGAAATACAGAAATTACATCAATAAAAGAATATAAGGTTTAAAGAGGATTAAGACATCTGGCTGAGTTGACAGTTTTATTAAACCTATCAAAATATGACATCAATCCCCATTCAATGTATAAAAATCAAAATTTGAATACAGTGAAATTCTAAAATATTAAATCACTTTGTTAAAATGATTTTTGTTAAAACCTAGATGAAAGTTGTTTTAAGACATACTAAGAAATCATCAAAGTACTAATAAAACCACATCTAATCACAAAGCACTCACATTTGCGTCCATGTCTAGAATGACTTTAAGAAAAGCTTGTGATAACAACAGGGTATATACATAATCTGCTGCTCCCTCATCTTGCCTACATGTTTAAGACTGACTTCTGGATCAATTCATTTATATATTCGTTCGACTATTAATCAAGTATCGACAATAGATCAGGTTCCATGCTGGGATGCCAGATGTACCCACCGAGGCTCACAACGTGGCAGCCTTTGCTGGCGCCCCCTGCCCCATTTGCAGGATGAAATCCAAGCATGTCTATGAACTGAATCTGCTTGTCCCTCAGGGCTCATTTCTGCCACTCTAGGCATGAAACCTGACGCTTCGGCAGCCTCAAAGGGACTATACTGTCTCGCATGTTGGTCTCCACCATCTTGGGGTTTACTTTGTTCGTCTGATTTGCCGCCCCCTCTAAGATGTGTCCCCTACCCCAAAACACTGGACAAGCCCAACTCATAAGGTATAAACCAGACACAGATCATTTGATAGGGTAGTATCTCTTTAACAGTTACGCAGTGGGGAAAACACTCCTACCCCAAAAGAATTTTAATGTGGGTAGGTCCGATGACTTTGGTATTCTCTGGGAGAGTCTTGCTGTCTCCTCATTACAAACACAGCCTCAATTCAGAAATTAGGCAGCTTAGTTCGTGATCCACACTCCAACTTCACCCAAAGGTAACATTTTTTTCTTCCCTCTTCCCAGCCAAGGTCAATAGTTAATAGGCTGCTTACTCGTTTGGGGGAAAAATGGCAGCTCTCTCGTAGAGGTTAAGGGTGGGATGGACAGAGAGACAAGAATGGAATGTCCTTCGGGGCCTGTGCCTGGTACTGCCATAGGTGGTCTGTGCTCTCTGCCTGCCAGGTATTCGAACCTACTTGAGTCTTGGGGGCATTTTCACGGGTTCCCTAAAGGGCTCTGGAGGACTCCTCCAGCCATGACTCATGGATGCATCTGCTTCCTATTGCCACTCCTCAGCCTCCAGTGGTCTCAGTCTTACCGCAGACACTCCCTGCTGGAGCCCCTCCACGTTCAGGTGACCAGTGCCCATAGGCACAACTTCCAATGGCCTGGAGCCCACTCTCTCTAGCAAGGTGCTTGCACACCTGGACATGGAGAACACCCCTAAAATGCAGCCACCTCTACTGTCCATGCAGGCTCTGTGTCTCACAGCTGCAGGGAACACTGTCACCTGGAGGTCCCACTCACCAGGCCTCAGTGAAGACGGTCACATGCTCTGCATCCTCCCACTTCATGGCCTACCCCAGCTCTCCCCACAGATATCTCTGCACAAACCCTCCTTGCCTCTCTACACATCCTCTCCCTCTGTGGTCCCTAGAAGAACAGGGAATGTGAGCTGCAAAACCAGATCTCGAGGAGTTCCTCTATCAACCCTGCACAGCGAGACGCCACTCACTCCAAAGTCTAATGCCTACTGCGTGAGCATCTCAGCCAGGACAGGGCGTCCCATTCACATTCGGTAACACTGTCCTTCTTCACTATGTTCCTTTTTTGACTGGGTGGGGGATGCCTTGCTTAGAATGATGATAACAGAAAAGAAGACAGATGAGATTTTGGGAGGTGGCACCACTTCCACCGAGACTGAGTCGATCGTGCATCTTTTCTCACTAGCTTCACGAGTTAAAAGATTTATAGTCTGAATCCTCCCGATACATGCATGTGGCATTCATTACTTGCTGGTCCTTTTCACCGGTCAGCAGTCTCTGGGAGGGAGGTGGAGAACTTTGAGTTTTTAGAAGTTTATTTTGGTTTGGATTCTTCATGCTGGTTCTCATACTTTACTTAGTAAGAAAATCCTTTCACCTTTGGAAGTTTTTCTCACTTTATTTATCTGCACCCCATGCCTCCAAGTTAGAGCTTTGGGGGAATATAGAGACTGAGTGGAGGCTTAGGCTAAGCTGTGACATGCTGAACCCCGGCTAAGTGACCCAGAAGTGCCTCCTTCTGCAGTCCTGCTCTAACCGGCAGGCAGCATCTGCCTGGAGCACTGTGTGAGGGATCACGGGCTTTGTCTCAACTCAGCTAGAAAGAATGACATGACCAATTAGTAAGGCGTGTCATCGCGGGCAGAAGTCATGGTGGCTGCAGACCATGTTTCTGTCGACCTTCCTTCTAGACACGGCCATTCAATGTGGTGTCTCACACTTCACTTGGTCAGAGAGTTAAATGGTCTGAACAGAATCAAAATGCGCTACTGGTATCAACTAAGTTCCTACTAACAACAGTCTTCACACCTGATTTAAGTACAAGACATCCTCATCCAGCAGGGATCAAGTCCAAGTAACCTAAGGACACAGCTGAGAAAAAAGAAACGAAAGAAGGCTGAGAAGTCAAACAGCTTCTGTGCCCCTCCCCCACGCCCATGGTGCTGCGCTGTGCCTCGGTGTTTCTCTGCCCATAATCGAACAGGGAATGAACGGCAGTTGCTAGCGTTAAGAGCTGATGATGTGAAGAAAGGATCTGTGACACAATGGTAGCAAGTAACGCAAGAAAGTATAAAATGCAGACACAAAACTCAAAAATACAGCAGCTGCATGCCCTGGAGAAACGGCTAAGAACACACAGTCCCCATGGGTCTGGCAGCTACGTCATACTCCACGTGTTTAGCCAAAATAAAAAATGTTTTAAAAAACAGAATGTACACAGCACATACAGAAAAGGCTCTGTCCTAAACAGTTACAATGCTTAAATTGGTGGTACTGATGGTACTGAACAATGTAAACCAGCAGCTCAGAGCTTTCCATTCTGTACTCCATTTTTAAAATTCCCCTGATACTTAAACTCTGGTAACATCTCACTTACAATGCATTACTAAATTGTTATTTTTACAAATCTAAACTGCTCTCAGTTATATCATAACATAAAGGCCTGATGTCTAGTGGAGGGCTCCAGGAGAGGGACTGTTAAGATTTTAAGAAACTCTCCTACCCCCAGGAGTCCCTCCCTCCCTCATCCTCAGAAGGAGCAGGGATGGGTCTAGCCAGTCCCTAGCAGTGGGGCCCCTGGCCAGAAAGCAGTGGGTCTGGTGAGGTCCCCACTGGCCCTGCACTCCCAGCTCTTCAGCCATGAACATCCCGTGCACCACAGGCCGCTGGGAGGACACGGGTGGCAGAGCCTGAGACTTGGCTTCTGCATTGGAGTGAGCAGGGAGGCCCAAGCCCCTGGAGCTGGATTCTGAGATTCGAGCCCCACCCACCCGCCAGCACCCCTACCCGGATGCGTCGTTCCTTCAGGCCCCTGAACTGGGCCAGGTACAATTTGAAAAGCACTACATCTCTTGGTCAAAATACCACCTCCCCTAAGACGGAGCTGATTATTCTGAGAGTTCTTACTGAAGACATTAAAACTCTTTCACTGATCTTAATTGGAAGACATGTATTGAGACTTATAGCAGAAATCAGCCTTACAAGAACAAGACAGACATTATTTTCAAGATGGTGAAATTCTAACACAGATGTCAAATAATCTTCCCCAAATCACACCATTAAGGCCAGGACTAACCTTGCCCGGACACACAGAGCCTGTTTCTAGTGGACACTGTTGGCTATGACCCACCAATCACCCTGGACCCTCTCTGCTGAAACACAGCCCCCCAATTGCCCCTTAACTGGGGAGAGATCAACCACCATAAGCCAACCGCGCTTGTCATATTCCCCCTGCTCTTGATTGGATAAACTTGTTTTTGAACAGTGATGTCGGAGGAAGGTCTGTTGGAGCACATCTGGGAAAGGTCTCCATACTTTCAAGAAGGGAAACCAAGAAGAGACACCATCTTTCTGCCTGAGAACATCATTATGTCCAGTTTCAACCACAATTGCTAAGGAAATGTGTTTTATGCTAAGGGCAACAGAACAGCCAGCAAACCCAGGCTCCTCACATCTTGGTGACATGACTGACTCAACCAACCTTTGGAGTCTGCCATCAATGAATATTGTATATTATGAAAAAGTAGATTTTATTTTTGTTTAAATCAATCTTAATTGCAGGTGAAGGCATCCTGATTCCATATTCTATTGCAAAATATATGCCTAAATATACTGATCTTTTATGCAAACACCTCAAAAATGTGAAATAAATGAGTTAGAAAAAACAAAAAATGAATACCAATGCCAGAGTCCATGAAGCTCCATGGGTAACACAGCTGCAAAAGTACAGGTGGCTCATCTCAGTATTCCCAACGGGAAGCAGCAGTAATAAGCAGTGGCTAAGAGCACAGGCTCTGGGTTCAATCTCGATGTTTGCTCAATCCACCTGTATAATCTCGAGAAGTTATTCCATTATGAATGGATCACCATACCTTCCTCTTAGGAATGTTTTGAAGATCAGAGTAGATAATGCTTGTGGAAGCCTAGCAGTTTCTGACACATGATAAATGCTCAAAAATGTTATTTGCTATTATTTTTATTATTTATACTTATTTATATCTTACAGACTAATTTCCTAAGTATTATTTGATTCCCATGACAATAACTGAGTTAAATATTTCCATGTTCCAGATGAGGAAATGGCCTCTGAGAGGTTATATGTAAACAGTCGAGATTTGAACCTGGTACTTCTACTGTCAAACAGAGAACCAGAGGGTTTTAGGTGGGAAATACGATCACAACTACAAATCCGTAAAGATGACAATGCAGGAGAGTGCGAAAGGGGAGCTGCTTTCAAATGAAGAGAATTGCTAATGCCCTTAATAACAGTAACAGGAAAGGAAGAGGTAGTATATCAACACAGCTAATGAAGCACGGAGTAAAAACTCTTACGTTTGTTCAGAATAACTGGATTTCGGATTCTACATTTCCAAGTGAAGTCCCGGCTCAGACACATCAGAAAAAGCAACATACGCTCTGAGTACTTCAAACCAAGCCTGCATTTTAAATCCACTAGCACAGAGTTAGGACTGAAAGTGACAGAGACCCTACTGTGTAAACTCACGAAATGTTTTCATCGAGGAATCGAAACACACAGTTTCAGTCACGGACAATTCCTGCCACCCTGAACAGATATGTTTTCCATTAGATGGCAGTGTAAGGTCAGATTTAAACCTTCTAAAAAACAGCTAGCCCCAAGCCAGGAGAAGACACAGGCCTGTGGACTGAGCGAAGAGACACAAACAGGCACGTTCTTCACACTTCAGCACTTGCTTTCCAGTATGAGGACTCTCTGCAGCAATGACCCATGCAGCATGCAAATCAATGGGCCTCCTTCTGAGACAGCCCCAGCCACCCCACACACAGTGAGGCCTGGCTGCAGCGGTGTTATTCCGCGCTTGCGGCAAAGAGAACACACTTTCTTGATTTGGCGGATGGAAGACGGAGGGGGGAGGCCAACAGTGAAAGTGGGCATTGCTAGTTCTTTGTGTGCATGCTACACATATCTCTCGTAGCTTTCAATTTTTACCAACATTGTTTACACTCTGTTGTATTACGTATTATAAGTTTGTTTCCGTTCTTTTTTTTTTTTTTTTTTTTTTGTCTGACCCAGTTTCTGGACTTGAAGGCGTTCTCATTGCCCATCTATTTTTACACAAGTTCTAAAGGTAAAGTCACCTAAGGCTCTTTTCTTCTGCACTCATATTAAGAATTAATTTGCCGTCAGTTTTCCTCTTTTAAAATACAGTCTTCTAAATGTGGTGGGAAAATTGAAATTGGTCTTTTCTTTCTGTTTGAAGCCAGGCCGATTCGAAGAAAATCAGGTTTGCATCGCCCATAACACCCATGTAGAAATAAAACAGACACTAGTGGTGCAACAACTGACTCTTCTAGACAGCCATTCCCAGGTAATAAGTCACAAAAACAGTTGAGATCATATAAAAACAGTACAAAGCTCCTGATTTCTGCCCCTGCGCCCATATACAGACCGTCTCCTACACATTACCCATAAATACCCTCTTGTTAGGCAATTGAGTATTGATTTCAAGAAACAAAGCCTAGCAAAGGTTCTTACTTAACATGAACCTGTTTTTACCTTCCTTTTTGGTTTAAATAGTTTGTCAGCATTACAACTGAAGTCATGCAAAGACCACATATATTTGTGACAACTGCCATCGTAAAGCAGAAATATAGACTTTTTACAAGCAAATCCTAGTCTCAATTCAAAGTGAAGTTATTTTTTCTGAGCAATTAGTAACATTTTTATAAGTATCATGACACTCTGTGTGCAAAAACATCAGTTAAAAATTTAGGAATATGAAGGGTCTTAACAGTCAAAGACAGCCAACAAATGCCACGTTGTTAAACTTGCAGGCTGAAAGAAAAAAGCATGCAGCCTGGGTCCACCGGTAAAATATTTATTAAACTCTGACTCACCCCAAAGAGCCACAAGGCAACCGTACTGTGTTACTCTCACTGGCTTTGCCATCTTCAGCTGAACCGGACACCACACGCAGGGCCCCTCACGTTCCCAGTGTGCACGCTAGACCGTCAGCTGTCGAGAATTTATCACCACAAACTGACTTCTCTCCTGAAGGCTGCCTCCCCACTGCAATCTGATAACTCACTAGGACCACAGCACTCACAAATTCTTCAAACCTTTTTTTTTTTGAGACAGACTCTCACTCTGTCACCCAGGTTGAAGTGCAGTGACCCGACCTCTGCTCACTGCAACTTCCACCTCCTGAGTTCAAGTGATTCTCCTGCCTCAGCCTCCCAAGTAGCTGAGATTACATGCGCCTGCCACCACGCCCAGCTAATTTTTTGTATTTTTAGTAGAGACGGGGTTTCACCACGTTGGCCAGGCTGGTCTCAAACTCCTGACCTCAAGTGATCCGCCCGCCTCGGCCTCTCAAAGTGCTGGGATTACAGGCGTGAGCCACCACGCCCGGCCGCAAACTTTTTTAAGTATGTTTCCACAAACAAATAATACTAAAACCCTATTATTCCTTCAATACTGACATTTTCAAAAAGTAGGTGCTCTCTAGGTTTTTAATTATTTTTTTAAAAGCCCCAAATGACATTAATAAACAGAACTAAAAGACAGTAGGGATCCTGACCTGAGTACAATACCATCCTCTACCAAAGCCTTCATCTGAAAAATAGTAAGTAAATCAGCAAAATAAAACCCACATCAACATTCTACAGTCTGCCTTTCCTTCCTTTTATCTTTCTCTAAAACAAGATTTATCTAACAGAGGTCAAAGAATTCAGTAAGATAAACACAGCTTTCTTGACAGTATCCAAAAAAAAAAAAAAAAAAAAAGAAGCCTGGAAAAGCATTTTTCTGGCCAAAAGCATTATCTTCTCTTGGTTTCTACACCTATTCTTACTTTCATCTTTCATTTTCTTGCTTCCTGGAATCTCTACATCTAGCCTCTCTTTCTTTTGAAAGTCTTTTGCCAAACACTTTCAGACGGACAGAAGGATGACTGGATGTCTGTTCACGGCCTAAAGGGCCCTCCCCGTGTTCCCTGATGCTACAGGATCCGCGCCTTTCTCTGATCATTGGCTATTCTGAGTCTCTATTAGAAAGACAGAGCTGGCTTGTGGAGGGCTAATGGCGATGCCAGGGATTCCTGTCCACAGAAATGCACATCAGGTGAGGATACCACTGGCTCCTCCGAGACGGAGTGACGGTCTTGCATCTTTCGGCATTTCTCATTGCGTATGTCTCCCCTCTGGACTTTCCTTTGGGCTGGATTTAACATCTTATTGGTTCTTTCCTTAATTATGAGTTAAATAAAAGCTCTGACATCTATTTATTTTATATTTGTATAAGAATCATGATTTTCCCTTTTTCAAAAATTATCCTTTAATATTTTACTTTATCCCATGGCTGAGCAAATATTTCTGAAACTTAAGTAACAATCTGTACAGTAACATCAAAATCTGTTAATTTTATTCCCACTGAAGTACTTATTGGATAAATGTACATAATGTTATTTTAAAATTTTAAAACACTTTAGTACCCTGGAATCTTAAGTCATTAAACAAAAACTTTTCCTATGTGGCAGAACAATGAATAGTATATATCCAAGAAGAGCAAAGAATCCTGTAAGGATGAACACTTGTGAGGCACTTGCTATGCTCCAAGTTGTTTACCTCCTCACTTCCTGATTCCTCGCATCGACCCTAAGGAACAGGTACTGCATTGTACACCTGAGGAAACTGAGGCAAAAGGAATCTAAGTAACTTACTCAATGTCATATTGCTAGTAAGTGGCACAGCCCAAGTTCAAATTGAGAGAGTTTTGCCCCACACAAAATCAAACTACCTCTCAGAGAAGAAAAGAACATTTTAAGAAAGCTAAGTACTTTCAGTGCCATTATTCTTCACTGCCATTACCAATCTCATCAAATAATTAACCTGACACTTATTAGGAACACTGCTGTTAGACGCAGTTCAGGCCAAACCACACTGTGGGCAGCAGCAACAGGAATAATAAAGAGATTCAAAGGCTGAGAAGGTGTGGGGAGGTAGAGAGAACAGGGGTGGGGGTAAACACCAAAACAGAAGTTGAAGAAATCACGTTTATGATAGTAAACGTCTGAATGAACCCTAACTGATAATTTTGTCCAAGTCTCATACTAAATATATTTTGTATATCTCCATATTCCTTTTGCCCATGTATAAAACTGGCTCTTGGTTATGAAGAGCAGCTCAGAGGGCCTCCTGCTCCACACTTCTCAGGCAGGTTGGAAAGAGACTGGCTTTCCAGAGCCTTGAAGCACCCATAAGGGGCTTACTATCAACTGCAAGTCTATTCATGCTTAAAACTGTGCTCAAATAAATACCCAACTGTTACCATTATTTTCTAAACCTTCTCAATCTTTGAACTCTTAATTTTGGAGGCACTGGAATCCTTAAACGGCTCTAGAATGACCCATACTGCAAAAATGTTTCAAAGATGTTACCTAGAACAGTCAAAGCTCACGTGAAGCTGCTAAGCCCCAGACTTTTTCAACACGTGCTACTTTCCCAAGACAAACATGCTACTTCCCCTCAGCCAGGGGCAAACCCCAGCAGGTGAAAATGAAACTAATGATCTTCAAGAGTAGGCTTGAAGATTATATATAGAGAGATTATTGGAGAATTTTCCCCATTCCTAGAAAACCCTAAACTAAAACCATGGTTAAAGTATTAACAGTGCTAATTTGTCACTTTTGGTAAGAGTTTACAGAGCAATACTCAGTATACAATTCCATAAGCAGAAGCACTAAGGCCAGAAGATAAATTAGCTGCGATTAACACATTAGGTGAATTGTTTAAGTAGAAAGGCACTAATTATAAAAGTTACTAAAACACTGTACTAGGAATTCAGAAAAAAACTCTAGATTCAGTTATAAGGCATCTTGAAAGATATCATTTACCTGGCAGAATTCTGATGATTAAAGTTAAATAAGTCTGGATTAAGCAAGAATGAGTAGACATTATAGACAAAATTAAAGACCAGATTAGACCTGGCTATTCTAAAATACTTCTAGAAAAATCAAAAAAACAGATTATGTATGCTATTTTGACTTCAGGTGCCATCTACCTATTTAAACTTAACCATCTCTAGACAACATACTAAAGACTTTTCTTTTTCACAAAATGCAAAATCAAAAAACTGAAGAGGTAAAAGTAGTTTTAGCCACAAGTTTTAACTAACTGCAAAGTTTACTTGCAGCATAGCTAACAAGGCTTCATAAATAACACCCATCTCCAAACAACTGAGGTGTCTTCAACTGTGTTTCCTGGGATGTTTCTGGAGTTTGAGTCCCTTTCCTGTAAGTATATAAAACTTTTCAGGAACTGAAAAATAAAGAAGACTGAAAGCAAGATGGTACTCACTTTTCAATCTCAATGCCAAGCGGGTTAGCAGGACGTAAGGACAAGGGCGGAATTCCTTTGTTCCTGTCAGTGCGCATATCATAATAATTCATTTCATCAACCCACACAGCAGACTGATCCAAAATGCCTACAGAAATGAGGAGCATATGCTTAATAAGATGAAGCCTACCCCAGGCACCTTCTACGTCTGGCCTATTGTCTGACTTCTTAAAGACCTAATACAAAATGCCTGTTGGATAATCTTTAAGAGATTTGAGGACATAACAGCTAAATTTTTAAAAAATGACTAGTAGTTTAATTATAAGCACTAAAAAAATTTATAAAAAGGCAAAAATTACACCTCTCAGCTTATGGTTTCATTGTACATTACTCAACAGAGAAGACAAATTAAGCTGCTTAGACAAAGTTTTGCAATAACAAACATATTTTACAAATAATAAACACTACAATTAAACATTGTTAAATGTAGCTGATTAAATCTGCACAAAAAATTCAGAAAGTCAGTAAGATGAAATAATATGACCTATAATATCTGTTTATTCAAGAGAATATTCTGAAATCATGTAAACTCTTGGAAAATGTCTGGGAAATATCCAAGCACAAAACATTCGAGTAAAATGTTAGCTCAGTGGAAAGCTTCTGGTTTATGATAAATGCCGAAAAACCATTATGCATATATGATTTTATATTTAATACTGTGAGTTTCTGCTTCTGGGTTCCATAAGCTACCTAAGGACATTTCACTACAAATGAAAACCAAATGTTTTTTAAATGGTTCTTGAAAGCTCTCAAGAAATATCTTTTATTTTCTTTTCCTCTACAAACTCTGGCATGTTTTCATGAATAGTTATGCAAAAATAATATGCTACTTGCTATTTCTCATTCTTTTTGCTGTTATCAGTGCTGGAAATGTCCTAGATGGTAGAAACAGCAGGGATTTTTTTCCGTATTAGGCTGAAATCAATTTGGTAAATTCAATAAAATATCTAACGATTAAATCAAACACCTTTCAAGGAACGCATGGCTTGTATAATGGAAATAACCAGGTTATTCAGGGAAAACTGACTGGGTGTGGACCCTGTGAACAAGACAACATAAGCTCTAAAAACAGCATCTTCCTTTATGGGACTGAACTCCGTTATCATTCAACCTAGCACAGGGCTTACCAGCTAGGCCTCCAAGGCCCTGGGCTGCAACAGAAAAAGAGCCAAGTGCCAGGGAGCACAGACAAAGCGTGCCTGCCTCCCCAGGCGAGGATCAGAAGGCTTCATGGGAGAAGGCTGTCTGAATACCAGGCAACCTGTAGCTGCAAGGCCCTCTATGAACCCACTCATTCTCTCAGCACTCGTGGTTCTGCCAGCATGCAACAGGGGCTTCTGCTCAAGTCCAGGCACTCTTGAGTTCAGTTCAAGAAAGCTTTACTGGCCGGGTGCAGTAGCTCACACCTGTAATCCCAGCACTTTGGGAGGCCGAGGTGGGCGAATCACAAGGTCCGGAGTTCGAGACCAGCCTGACCAACATGGTGAAACCCCATCTCTACTAAAAATACAAAAATTAGCTGGGCATGGTGGCACGCACCTGTAATCCCGGCTACTGCAGAGGCTGAGGCAGGAGAATTGCTTGAACCTGGGAGGCGGAGGTTGCAGTAAGCCAAGATTGAGATCGCGCCATTGCACTCCAGCATGGGCGACAGAGCAAGACTCTGTCTCAAAACAAAAAGAAAAAAAAAAAGAAACCTTTACTAAGCCTACTATGTGCTAGGTCCTGGAATGAGTATTCCAGAATAATAAAATTACCACTTTTGCCTAAGTTTTCTTTATCTGCTATATAAATAGATCATAAGATATTAGATTTTTATCAAAATGTTTAAGTCCCTCTAGAAAACTGTACAACAAGTTCCTGCTTTAGTTTCAGTTTAGTTTTTGAAGACACTAAATAAAAAGAGTAAACAAAAATAGAAATGTTATATATGTATATATGTACACATGCACGTACATGTACATATATAAAGTCCACTCTGAATTTTCCCTGAAATTCCTTGAATTTTTATTTATAAAAATAATCTAGGAATTTGTGGAGAACAATGCTGCAGAAAGCCTCTATGCTCTAAGATTAAAAAAACAATTTGCAAAATTATTTATTTTCTTTATAAAGAGAAGTACTGGCTGGGTTTAATTACGCCTCTGATATTCCTACATTATACAAATATTTATCAAATGCTGACCAGGTGCAAGACATTACAGGACCACAAAGATGAATCTGACATTACTCTTATTCTAAAAAGGGAAAGAGACATGCACAGAAATAGCTACAAGAAAGATCATCAGAAATTATTAATTTGCTGGGTAAGGGACTATGCTAAGCACTTTACATTTATGTTCTAACTCACCCAATCCTATGAGGTAGCCAATATATTCCACTTTTGCTCATGGATAAAGAAGGTATTAAAGTTACATACTCAGTCATGGTAAGAGAGTCCAGGTTAGAATTCAAAGAGCATGACTTCTCAGACCAAGTTCCTAACGCTGCTAACGTAAGGCAGCAAGTTCCTAACACTGCTAACGGAAGGCAGCAAGTGGTCAGCGCATAAAGAAGGAAAACAAAGTGCTATGTGGTTCAAAGAAGAGTGAGTATTACTAACAGGGGCGTTAAAAGCAGCCAAGCTAGGAAATGTATCATCTGGGCCTTGAAGGATGGATAAAATGAAGGAAAAGGGAATATTATTTAGATATATTATTACTAATTTGGCCAAATCAGGATTTTTCACCTCAAACCTTGTTTAAGAGTTTAAAGCAATGTCATTATATTCAAGATCAAGGAACCAAAACTGGTATATCAAGTGAACGAACAGATTTTAAGAACTGAGAAGAGTAGTTCTCATACGACCGTCATCCTTAGGCTTCACTGACTGTTACCTCAGCACACTGCCTTCCCGAAAGTAACACAAATATTAACCAACATCCCAATCCTGTCAAAATAAACATAAACTAAATCTAAGTTGAGATATGCAAGTAGGTAGGTTTTACACGAATCTACCAGCTTTACAGCTTAAAAGACAAACTCATTTTTACTTTCTTCTTTAGAATAAACCCATGAAAGACTTTACCTATTTTCTCAGGTTTGAGTAGCTTGAAAGAGACTGTTGAGGTTCCTCTGCCACCTGACTTAGTGGTGACAATAATGTCTCCTTTGTCATTTTTGGCTTGTCCCACTCGACATACTATTTTACTTGCAGACATCCATTCTGCCGTCAGGAGGCAATTATGTCCACAAATGGTCAAGCCTGAAAATAAACGCATGTGCATAACAAAATTCAAAGACAAGAACAATAAGACCTTAATCGTGTAGATTACATTTTTTAAATCTAGTCTTGTTCAATAATGACATTATTGAATATACCCAATATTATTTGCAGATATACTGTTATCTCTATTGACTTTTCCTCTTACCTGTTTTTTTCTCCAATATTTAAGACTTCTTTTAGGCTACATTTGAGTTTCTTCAAACATCCGTAGAATTAGAAAACGAACACCACAACAACTATGTTGCAGGAATTCCAGATTACTTAGATTACGAGAATCTTAAAATGCTTTCAGAGGTAATAAAAGGGAAACTACTGCTATTATTTGAAGTCTCAGTTATTAACATAGAATTTTAAAGTGTATTAATAAACGTATGTATCATTTTCTAAAAACATTCTACATTCACCCATCTTCCTGAGACAAATCTTCACGTGCTTTTTCTAGTGTTCACTTATACATGGCATTACAGAATGAACTAAAGTAGGTTTTTTATTTAAGCATAACCAAGAGTCAGGTAATCTAGTGAAGTGTGCTCAGGCATTACTGGATTACCATCTCACTTTTACATCGGTGTGTCAGCTGCTGGCATAGTAGTTCCTCCTGCCCTAGTGCTTTCCTAATGAAACTGTCACTACACTACATTCTGCTCTTACAGTAAACCTACACTCCCAGAAGGTCAACTCATGATGTCACCTCCCTCATACCATGTAAAACAAAATTTAGGTAATAACCAAACAGAGAGGCACTGAAAGATGCAGTGAGTAAGGCACACACCTCAGGGGGAATACCAGCATGGCACCACACTGGTCAGCTAGCCTTCCAACTTACTTCCTTTAGATTTTCCATTTCCACAAAACAGAGACCAATGTAATTAATATTTATGGAGAAAAGAAACCAGAATGTATGTGGCACAGACACAGACACTTGACGTTTTCTTTTTTTTTTTTGAGACAGGGTCTTGCTCTGTTGCCCAGGCTGGAATGCAGTGGCGTGATCTTGGCTCAATGCAACCTCCATCTCCCACGCTCAAGCAATTCTCCAGCCTCAGCCTCCCAAGCAGCTGGGACTACCGGTGAGCACCACCACGCTCGGCTAGTTTTTTTGTTGTTGTTTTGTTTTTGTATTTTTTTTAGAGACACAGTTTCGTCATGCTGGTCAGGCTGGTCTCGAACTCCTGGCCTCAAGTGATCCACCTGCCTTGGCCTCCCAAAGTGCTAGGATTACAGGTGTGAGCCACCATGCCCGGCAGACACTTCACACTTTTTCTCATTATTTAACTTTCTATAATGTTCAGCACTAAGGTTTAGCAATGGCAATGTTTTCTTTCGGCTTTTTTTCAGATACCAGAAATATATCACCTAATGCCAAATCTGACTTTAAAATGGAGGCACAAAGTCAAATCATCTTTTGTTCCAACTTAAAGAACTATTTAGTAAGAATGTTAAACCATAAAGGAATAAAAGCAACTATGCTTTAAAGATACATTGCTTGAAATAATGAATTTTAGGGGTTTCTCTAAAATACCTATAATTCACTAATGTCTGCAACTTTGTTTTTCTAATAATGGCATTAAAAGGTTTCCTCAGGACTATGGTTTCTACTGGTATATTTTAATTATAATAACACATTTTTAAATATATTCATTATTCAAAATTATTTTTTTCAAAATGGGCATGTCTTTGATATTTTTTCTAATAATTTTTGTTATGAAAAACTTAAATAACTTAAGAGATTGAAAGCCTCTCCAAACTCCACCTCGCGAGAGAAATACTGCTAACATGTCAATGTTCACTTGCTCAAGTGATTCTGTGCATATAAAAACCAGTCTATATGTTTTTTAAACAACTGTTTCAATGTATAACCTGCTTAATTATTGACAGTAGGTATTTTGGTATCACTCCAGGTCAACAGACAACTTAATATTTTTAAGTATTTTAATATCAGATTTTTGTGATTTTAAATATTAACCCACTTCAGAATGAAGAACAACCCAACAATTAACGTCAGGTAGCAATGTAAAAATACAAATAGTATCTTCATTAAAGGAAAAAAGTCATCCCTAATGAAATTTCCTTGCTAGAGAACTACCTTATTTTTAAAACTGAGGAATAAGAGCAAATTTCAGATATAAAGTATTAAAACATGTTCACATGAGCAAACCTGAATGATATGCATGGAGGTCCCCGTTGGCACAAAAGTGCCCCTAGAACAATAGCTTATTCATTGGGTCTCAGCTGCTTTCACGATTCCTCTGATTTAATATCTGTTGTGCATTTTTACTCCAAAAAAATGAATAATCAGCAAATAATTCAAACACAGATTCAAGTAGATCATTTTAAATGTTATGAAAAGAAAAAAGATCGTTAAGACCTATTTCTTGATTTCTTAAGCACGTTTGCTAAGCTACGCTAAGAAATCTGCTTCATGAAATAAAATAGCACCTTTTAGAAAAAAAAAAGTAACTCATAGAATTCCAAGTAAAGTACTTTTTATAGTGCTTTGCTTGGCTAGTGTAGATATCATCTGAGTTAAAAACACTTAAATTATTTAGCAGGTTAAGTTTGCTTTTTTAAAAAATGGTTTCTTGGCAATATATAAGGCAGGTTGAAAGCTGAACTAGCATGGTTTAGAAAAGTAATACACAGGCCAGGCAAGGCGGCGCACGCCTGTAATGCCAGCACTTTGGGAGACCGAGGCAGGCGGATCACGAGGTCAAGAGATTGTGACCATCCTGGCCAATATGGTAAAACCCCATCTCTACTAAAAATACAAAAATTAGCTGGGTATGGCGGCACATGCGCCTGTAGTCCCAGCTACTGGGGAGGCTGAGGCAGGAGAATCGCTTGAACCCAGGAGGCGGAGGTTGCAGTCAGCCAAGATCACGCCACTGCACTCTAGCCTGGCAACAGAGCGAGACTCCGTCTCAAAACAAAAAACAACAGCAACAAAAAGAAAAGTAATACACGCTTAGTCAAGTAAGAATAGCATTGCCTGAAGCTCAAACAAGATTAAAATTTACCTAGACTATTGTCATGTTTGGGAGCGCACAATGACTGCCAGCGAAAATTCTGGACGGAACCCCCACCTGTGTGAGTAGATTTCTATGCATTCTGGGGATTTTTACACTTAGGTAAAGAAACATCTGGAATGAGCTTTATCAAAAACCAAGGCATAGGATTAGGTAAGACTACTTTTGCAGGAATAAATTGAAGTGATGTTTACTAAACAATCAAAAACTACCCAGGTTTTCTCCCGACTGTAACCTTTGTCCATGGTATTCCTTCATTTGGAGAGATGCCGGTCACAGTTAGAGAAAACAATATCAAATGAGACATAACACTAGCAAAAAGAATTGGCTAGGCAGTGCAAAACTCAGTCACTAAACACAGTGCTGAGCTCCCGTTCACTTTTTCTTTTTAAAGAGTTTTCTGGATGGCCAAAAACCAATCTATCAACCAGCAGTCATAATGCAGGAAAAGCAAGTTCCAATTCGTGATTTCAGAACCTTAGTAACAGCTCCGTCATCAGTGCAGAAATGAGTCAAGAGAATGTCTGAGTCCAGAAGAAATGTAAATGGGAAGCCAGAATATTCATTCAGTAGCACAGAGAGGGGCCTTTCCCTTCCTCATTCTGAATGCATCTGTATACCCACCTGAGCAGTTCACAGGCAAGTAATCGTAACTGGCCATAAAATTATACTTAAAACTCTCTACCCTGGCTGTCCCTAATACCCGTGTATATTTTTAAAAATAATGTTTAGGCTCCATCTTTAGAGACTGAAACTTAGTAGGCCAAATGATTTACGTTTAAAGTTCTAGAGAGATTCAGAAAAGCCAGGGCTGAGAAGCACTCGCAGACCTGAGAGCTTCAAGAACAGGCCATCAGTAAAGGCCGCCACATCATGGAAGGAGGAAGGCTACCATGCAAGCCAACATCCAGAAATATTTATACCACACCAGCTGGAGGTGTGGTGTCCTAACCATTCATGACCTTGAGCTTAAACTCCGCTAGAAAAGATAAAAAACATAAACTGCCCCTAAAAACTAAACTTTGGCTCGCTCCAGATAGGATCCACAGATCACGATGAGGACACATGCCCGCCAGGTGGAGTGAAGACAGAGCCAACTGCTGCCCGTGTCACCAGGAGATGGGGCTGAGACTTGCTTTGAAGAGCAATAAGGAACAGAAAAGGTGTAATTCACACAGCCCCTGAGAAGCAACAGACAAGTCAGACAAGGGAAGGAAAACTAATGAGAGCAAAACTATAAAAGCAGCTCTTTTGACAATCAAGACATCAAAGCTTCAGAAAATTCAGAGGCAAATCTCAGCCCTGGGAAACCTTCTGAAGGATTTGAAAGACAATATAAGGCAAGATTTGACAAAATAATGATTTTCACACAAAACTCAGAAAGCCAGATAATTCTTTCGTCTTTTTGGAGCATTCTGTAGAGATCACAAAGATGTTTGTTCTATCACCTTCACTGTTTGAAAATTACATATCTTGTCTCCCTTGTCCACATAAAAATCCGATTAGCAGGGTGCGTCGCAGGGCCTCTGCCCTTACCTATGAGGTCGGTGGGGCCAGTCCCCAGATTTTCTCCCCTGATTGTGACCTTCGTCCATGGTATCCCTTCATTTGGAGAGATGCCGGTCACAAGGGGGGGTTGTCGTGATCGAGACATTGTGCTTTGTGGAGCAAACTGGTGATCCTGTTAGAGAAGTAATCTGTTAAAAGAGAAAGAAAAAAGGATTAGTACCAACTGAGACAAGCATTGGCTGAAAATATAAGAATGCTAGACAGTCAGTACCAAAATATAAAAAGTATTCTTAAACACAGAGTTTTGAATTTTTTAGGGGTCATTTAGCCAATCAGCCAACATCTACTGAACATTAAGTTACTAAGGACACTCTGGTTAGTATTGCAAGAAAGACATAAGAATAACAGAATGCTAAGCCCTGGGTTCTAAAAACTTTCAGCACAAGGGCAGAGAGAAACTAATGTCACCACGTAGCTCCATGACTACCTCTGCTGAACCCTAAATTGATACTAGGAACTGTTCTACTGTTCTACCCCCAGGGCTGTTTAAAGGAGATATTCTGATTAACTATACTCATAAAAATAAAAACACACTTACATTCCCACAGGTGTACTGAATTTCAGTTTACTTTTGTGTTTATATAGTATAGCAACTCTTTTTTAATATGCTCAAATCAATGCAATATACTGACATTTCTACAAAACCTAGAACGTAGATACAGGCAGAAGCATGAATTTGCTAGCTGTTGTGAGTATAACAGAGGAGGGAAAAGTGTAGTTTCTGAGACCAGGTAGACTTGTGTTCAAGTACTGCTGCTCCCATTTACTAAATCTGTTCTAAATCTCCCTCTTCTTGTATGTAAAGTGGAGCTAGAAACAGAAAACATTTCATAAGGTTATTGTAAAGAACATACAGGATAATCCTTGGAAAGCCCAGTACCTGGCATACAGGAGGCAAGCAATAAATAATAAAAGTTTGCCGGGTGCGGTGGCTCATGCCTGTAATCCCAGCACTGTCGGAGGCCGAGGCGGGCGGATCACGAGTCAGGAGTTTGAGACCAGCCTGACCAACGTGGTGAAACCCCGTCTTTACTAAAAATACAAAAATTAGCCGACGTGGTGGTGCACGCCTGTAATCCCAGCTACTCAGGAGGCTGAGGCAAGAGAACTGCTTGAACCCAGGAGGCGGAGGTTGCAGTGAGCCGAGATTGCGCCACTGCACTCTAGCCTGGGTGACAGAGTGAGACTCTATCTCAAATAATAATAAAAATAATAAAATTTTACTAATAAACCCGAGAACTCAAGTGCTCAGGGCTTCAGATGCCCCAGAAGGTGGGGTGAGGCTCAGAGCAGAACAGTGAGACTTGCTGGTGACCTGTATCTTTATGGACTAAAAAGTTAGATTCCCTGGCCCCTGCCTCCATCCTTCACAGTCTGGAGAAGAGAAGTTTAGTCTTTTAAGAAACCAAGCAAGAGCACCAGGACTCAGAGACCCCCAGCACAGCAGAGGTGTGGGAAACTTGGGGGCAGGCTGACCAGGGATTTGGGGTAAACCTGTGCAGCAAAGCCGTGGGACTCAGGCTGCCTCCCTTCTCCTGCCCTTGCCACTGTGAGCAGGTGTGCAAGCCCCTCCTGCCCTTGCCACTGTGAGCAGGTGTGCAAGCCCCTCCTGCCCTTGCCACTGTGAGCAGGTGTGCAAGCCCCTCCTGCCCTTGCCACTGTGAGCAGGTGTGCAAGCCCCTCCTGCCCTTGCCACTGTGAGCAGGTGTGCAAGCCCCTCCTGCCCTTGCCACTGTGAGCAGGTGTGCAAGCCCCTCCTGCCCTTGCCACTGTGAGCAGGTGTGCAAGCCCCTCCTGCCAATCCCACCCTGTCCACACAACTGAAGCATTATTCCCCGCAGAAACTGAAGAGTCCTAGGAAAATAAGACCCAAAGATCCTGACACCTGAGTGTCTTCCCTGCAAAAAGGGAAGGGCCGCTTGCTTGTCCGCCCATCACCTGTACAGCCACTCACTGTAAACTGCCCACACACAAACTCAATCAAATCAGCGGTTAATAGTCTCACTCTAAGATGTGGGAGGCGTACAGGCCATGAGTGAAAGCTTCCCCTCTGCCCTCTAAAGGGTCGCTGGAGATGAATGAGGCTGGTTAACAGGAGCAAAGGGCAGACACATTTCTTTAATGTGCATGGACTCGCAGGAGCATGGTTACCCAACAAACCGGTGAGGTCCAGATGCTTACAGACCCTTCTTCAAAGGGAAAGGGAGGATAGGCGAAATGTGGCCATTTGGAGGGGTAGTAAATAATTTTTAGGGGGAATGAATGGGCCCAATGCTCAGATGGTAGTTAATAAATAATTCTGAGAATTAAATGGGACCTGAGAACAGACAACAGTTTGGACAAAGCCCATCTGGGCTCCAGGTGTAGTGTTTGATTTTCAGTCTCTTTTTCTATGATATGAGTTTTAATCTTCTCTGATTAATGAAATTTCAGGGAGGAAACTGAAGGCAAATGTGTTCTTCTTTGGTTGGTCTAGTTTCTCCGTAGGTAAGGGAACTTCAGATAAACAGCCTCATTCTGTGCTTTGGGAGAGACAGAAGGGGTGCGGGGAGAGCTTGAGGCTGCTTCCTTAGCGCAGAATGTCAAAGCACCATATTTTAGGGTATCGTTTTCTGACCCCCAACATTGGACAGCCAAAGGGAATGAGGAAAGATATGTAAGACAGAGATGGAAGAAAGACAAACAAGAAAAAAACACAGAACAAACATATTGCAGGTGTTGTATGGCCTGAATTATGCCCACCCACCTCACTCCGCCACTGCCAAATTTCATATGTTAAACCCAGCCCCAGTACCCCAGAATGTGGCTGTATTCAGAAAGGGGGCCTTTAAAGAGGTAATAAAGGTGAAACGAGGTCACATGGGTGGGTCCTAATCCAGTATGACTGGTGTCCTTATTGGAAGAATTTGGACAGAGACACACACAGAGGGAAGGACATACGAAGACTCATGAGAAGACGCTGTCTACAAGCCAAGGAGAGAGGCCTAAAACAGATCATTCCTCACGGCCCTCAAAAGAAACCAACCCCACTGACTCCCTCATCTCAGACTTCTAGCTTCCAAAAGGGTGAGAAAATAAATGTATGTTGTTTAAGCCACTCGGTCTAGTATACTTTGTTATAACAGCCCTACCAAACTACTAACAGCAGGTACAGAAAAAAAAAAACTTCGAAATCATTCTAAAGTTTGATACCAAATTAATATCGAGAGAAATTTTTTACCCCTAAAAGAACTAGATGCCATGAAAATAAATGAATCCAAGAATAAAAGCTCTTGAAATTTTCAAAAAGGTCCAAAGACACATGACTTATACAGTCATAATAATGTAGTAACTGACCACCGGTTTAAACAAAATTGAAATAAGGCACAAAAGGCGGATGTGTGTTTGGGGGCAGGCAAGACAGGTAAACCAGGGAGTGACCATCTTTTCTCTCACATAATGGGAGGCTGACAGCTAATGTCTAAAACGGACCACCAAGAAATGGCAGATTAGAAGAATCTGGAAATGTTGCAGTGGATGGCAGGAGAGAGTGGAATGAGTCTGGGGTATGTTGTATAATAGAGTATTTGACCTCTGTCCCTGGTTTCTGGGAGCGAGTCTTAAATCCTTGGTGTTTTCCGGCAATAGGAGGGTCTTTGTTATTCATGATCCTCTCAAACCACGCCCTAGTATAGGCCAAGATGACTCAACAGCAGGACTGGCCATTCCAGAAAGACCATGGGATTAGAGGGTTAGGGTTTTGAGCAAAGCACCAGCAAACCAACCTCCTGTGGAGAGGCGGGGCTGCAGATTAGGTTCAGTCCAACACGACTTAATCAATCATGCCTACGTAACTTATTTAATACAAATAAAATGGCAAAACAACAAAAAAGGAAGTCCAGAAAAACATTATCATTCATCCAATAAACCCAATGAGACAACTCAAGGTTACCTTGAGTTCCTCTCCTTCCCTCTGGCACCCCCTGAATCAAATAATCAGTATCTTTTGTCTGAATCAAAAATCAACTATTCCTCTCAATCCTACTGTTTCCTCCTGTTGCTCTCCCACTTAAGACCTTCGTCTTCTCCCCTCAATGCTGCAACAGACGTATAACTGGTAACTCTGCCCCATTTTCTCTCCACTGCAATCCACCCTCAGCAAATGCCAGTTAGTTCTCTAAAATATGGAGCTAATCAATATTATCCCTACCTTTAAAATAATCTTCTATGAAATCCACTGTTTTGTGGTCTGCACAGCCCACAACCTCCTCCACATCCCGTTCAAAGCCTGTCACAGCTAGACCCGTCCACACTGCCTACTTCATCTCCACCACTCCTCTCCTCTGACATTCCCCACATGAGCCCATTCACCTCTTACGAACCTGCCACATGCTTGTATTCATGTAATTCAACCTCTTTGCACCAAAGAGAAATTTCCAAGTTTATTAAATCTTTACCAATATTTCAAGTCATGCTCAAATGTTATTTTAGTCTCCCTGATCCCTCCTTCTATTAAACTTCTACTACATAATGTTAATATTCACTGTGTTAAATTTTAGATATTTTATTTGTTTCTTCTTTGAAAACACATCTTTAATCAATTTTATATCCCCACTTCTCAAGCTGTGGGATCTGACATGCTCATGTCAGGACTGAACTGAATTAGAGGACATCTAGCTGGTGTCCGCTGGAGAGCTGCTTGCTTGGTGTGTGGGGAAAACTTCACACACACCTGGTATCAGGAGTGTGTACTGAGTTAGTGGCTGTGTGAACATAGAAAGTAGGAAAAACACTTGGATTTTTTCCTATCTCTTTATAAGCAAATAAGCAGATAACCGAAATGGACCCCAAGATGAACCAGACAGAAGAATTAGTAGATAAGAACTTAAAAGAGTCTATAACAAATGTTATTAAAATATATGTAATCATAATGAATAAACAGATGGTTGTTCTAAATAGAGGAATTAAAATTATAAAATTATTTTTTAAAAAGAAATGCAATGCAAATTCTAGAACTGAAAGGTATACTGTCTGAAATGAAAAATACACTGATTAGGCTGCACAGTAGGTAGAAGATATTTGAAGAAACAGTCAGTGAACATGATTATAGATCAATATAGTTATAGAAATAGATTTATCTAAAGATATATAGTTCTTTAAAGTACTGGAAGAAAAAAAGTCTGAAATTAAAGTTGTAAAAGGCATTTTTCAAGTAAAAAAAAAAAAGTTCATTGCAAACAAATCTGTATGACAAGAAATGCTGAAAGAAGTTCTTCAATCTGAAGGGGAAGTGATACCACAAAGCAATTTGGTAGGAGAGTTTATAATGATGAAAGGACAAATTCATCAGAAAGACATAACAATCAAAACTGTATACACCTAATACAAGAGCTTCAAAACCCATTAAACAAAAACTGATTGATAGGGAGAGATAAATACACAATCATAGTTTGAGGTTTTAATATTCCCTTTCAATATTAATAACTAGATATTAAAAAACAAACAAAAAACATAGAAGATATGAACAGCACTGTTGGTCATCCTGACCTGACATTTATAAAACTCCTTTTCAGGTGCTCATGGAATGTTCACCAAGATAGACGATATGCTGGGCCATAAAGTAAGTCACAGGCAATTCCAAAGACCGAAATTCCGAAGATTACAAAGGAATCTTCGTTAGCAATAGAAACACAATATCCAGAAAAGTATCCAGGTATTTGGAAATTAATACACTTCTAAATAACCCAACATTCAAAGTAGAAATTAAGAGGGAAACAAAATATTTTGAAATGAATGATAAGAAACATTTATCAAAATTTGTGGAATGCCACCAAAGCAGTAACTTAAAATCTTAGAGAAAAAATATTTAAAATTAAGAATCTATGTTTCCACCTTTTAAAAAAAAAACTAGAAAAATAAGGGCTAAATAAACTCAAAGTAAAGGGGAAGGAGGGCAGGAAAAGGAAGCAGAATGACAGAAATAGGAAAAAAATAAACAGTGGAAACCAATAACATAAGTAAAAAGAATTTGAAAAAAATTAAAGCCAAAAGTTCTTCACCAACAATTAATGAATTGATGTTTCAAAAAAACTCTCTAGAAATGAAACAAAAATTATCAATTTCAGTAATGAAAGAGGGAATAACCATAGATACTAAAGACATTTAAATAGCAATAAAGACAATGAACAGCTTTATGCTGATAAATTTTACAACTTAGATGAAATGAATTCCTTGAAAGACAAGTTACCCAAACTAAACAAGATGAAATAGAAAATCTCAATATCTTCATAAAGATTAAATAAATTAAATTCATTATCAAAACTTTCCTACAAAGAAAACTCAAACCTAGATGCCTTCACAGATGGATTCCATAAAACATTTAAGGAAGAAGAAATATCAAGCCTATATGAATTATTTCAAAAAGCAAAAGAGGAATACATCATGATCAAGTAGGGTTTATTCCAACCAAGCAAGGCCAGTTTTTCAGACATCAATCACTGTGAATTACCATATTAAAAGTAAAGGAAAAACCGTATGTTACCCTAAATAGATGTCAAAGAAGCCTTTGATAAAACTCATGATTAAAAACTATTCATGATTAAAAACTCTCAACAAACTAAGACTACAGAGCATCTCCTCAATCTAATAAAGAACTATTTGAGTGGGGAGGATCACCTAACATCCTACTTAATGGTGAAATACAGAATGCTTTCCCCCCTTTCGAACAGTAACATAGAAAAGATACCTCTCTTTCCTTGCCTATTCAACACTGTTCTAGAAGTTCTAGCAGTGCAATAGGGCGAATTAAAGAAATAAAAAGCAGAAAGATGGCAAAGGAAGAAGTAAACATCTATTTGCAGATGACATGATTGCTTATATAAAAAATCCTAAGAAATCTACTAAGCAACTAATAGCACTAATAGCCGAATTTAGCAAAGACTTAGTATTCATGGTCAATATATAAAAATCAGTTATTTACATATTTTAGTAGGAAATGATTAGAAAATAAAATTTTTTAAATTTTGAAAATGCCATTATAAAACCAAATACCTAAAAATACACTTAATAAAAGAAATGTACAAGACTTCTACATTAAAAACTACAATATACTGCAGAGACAAAATAAAGACCTAAATAAGTGAAGATCTATATCATGACCATGGATCAGAAGACTCAATGTTGTTAAAGTATCAATTCTCCCCAAACTGATTATAAATTCATGCAAGCTTATATAGAGATATTGTCAAGGTCATTCTAAAATTCCAGTAGATATTCGAACATCTAGCAAGAGCCAAACCAATCTTAGGAGGAAGAAAAAAGTTGTAACACAGTTCATGACTTCAAGACTTATTACAAATCTACAGTAATCAAGACAGTGTTGTTGACATTAGGATAAACTAATGGACGAATGAAATAGACTAGAATCCAGAAACAAACACATATGATTATATGAGTTTTGACAAGGCACCAAAGTAATTCAATGGGAAAAATATTTTAATGGTGTTGAAAAAACTGGATAGCTACATAAAAAAAAAAAAAGGAATGTTAACTGCAACCTCACATCACTTACAAAAATTATTTCAAAATGGCTCATAAACATAAAAACTAAAATTATAAACTATAAAGAAGATAACATAGGAGATTATCTCCATTACCTGGGCGTAGGTAAAGACTTGTGTTCAATATGACAAACACAAGTACAATGAAAAACACTAAATTTTCTGACTTCATCCAAATTAAAATCTTCTGCTTATCAAGAGAAAATAAATAGGCAACTACTGCCTAGAAGGAAATATTCACAATAGATACAAATGACAAAGGACTTTATACAAACAACACATAAAGAACTTTTGCAATCTGATAACAAAGGAAGCAACCCTTTTTTTTTTGAGCAAAAGATTTGAGGAGACTCTTCATAAAGGCAGATATATGAACTCAGTTTTTAATATGGTATGTGACAAAGAAGTGTACTGGTAGATTTATGTGTGTGTGCAAGTGTGTATTTTCTAGCTTTGTACATTGAGAGAGGCTAGAAGCAATAATACAACAGTAGCGATGAGCATATCTAACTCCCAAATACCATTTTTCAATGAAAGGAACCAGTGACCTTGGAGAAATGGCTGATGCAGGGCTGAGGCAGGGCAAGGACAAGGTAAGCCTGAAAGATTCTGCTGTACCACTAAGGAAGTGTATGTCAAAAGGCCACAGAGCCAGACTGAAGCAGTGCCCACTGTCCAAACCAGACAATCTGAGAACCAAAAATTAGTATTTTCTTGACCTTGACATTTTCAAAGAGTACAGGTTATTTTATGGAATGCCTATCAATTTGGCTCTGTCTGATCATCCCTGTTGATTTGATTTGGGTTATGTATCTTTCACAGGGACTTCACAGATCCTTCTCAGTGATTCATATCAAGAAAGGCTCCTCATGTTTGTCTGTTTCAACTTTGGATTAGACAGTATGGTACCAATATTTTATTTCCTGATTTTGGTAACTGTATTATAATATAAGAGAATGTCCTTATTCTTAATAACTACATACTGAAGTATTTAGGAGTCAAGGAATGATGCCTCATCCCACTTTCAAATGGTTCACAAAAACATAGACAGACAGATGGACAGAATGATACAGAAATTGGGGAAAAAGGAAACAACTGGTGGGCGTGGTTAAAGGGCTTCCTGGAGTTACTAGTCACCAAAATGAAGGAAGTAAGTAAGGGGTTTATAGGAGTTACTTTTACTATTCTGGAAAGTTTTCTGTAAGTTTGAAGTTATAGCAAAATAAAAAGTTATCAAATATAATGCTTTGGTAATATTTTGAAATTAAACACAAACACATCCCATTAACATTAGCCTGCTAAGCTACACAACATATTAGGCTCATTGTTCCTGAAAATTGAAAGATATTTATTTTCACATTTGACATCAGCAAAATGCACAAATAAGCAATGAATAAACTGATATTACATAAAGATACTAGGTAATTTAATAGTTACGTTTATATAAAATTGTATGTTTCAGAATTATTATTTTACTGGAATACACTATTGCTACCTCTTTAAACATGCTTCTAAACGCAGACAAAAGTGTGGAAAGCTTGTTTTGACAATGTGCTAGAAAACTATTATAAACTGATAAACATGAGATTTAGTATGGTAGCATATTAATAAAAATTATAGGACAGCAAAGGCATATTTCAACACAAAGTTCTTCAACAACTGCTTCAATAAACAGACATCATGTTGCTCCAAAGATACCAAAACACTGCAGGGAGAGCAAATATTAAGAAAAATGTGGATAATTAACCCACCACATTAATTAATGCTTACAAACCAATTTGTGAGAGGAAAATACTTTCTTCAATTGGCATGGAAAATTAGGCTCCACTGAGTGGTGATTCAATTATTTTCTTGACACTATTAAGGTATGTCCTCAGTATTACAGCACAAATTAAATAAGCATGTGGTTAAAAGTGAGTACTTTCAGATTCTGGTCTAGATCACATAAAGAACCAAATTTTTAAGTAGAAATATGCTGCTCTCCTTGTTTCCAGAAAAACAGTAGTATTAAAACTTAATGAAAATAATTACCGTTGACATTAATGTTACTGAAAAGATGATTAGTACAAACATCAGACTGTCAGAGATCCTCAGCGGTTTTGATTATCAGCAGGGGTGGTATTTCACAGAATCAGAGCCAAAGGAGAGCTGACACAACTGGTATCTAGTCTCTTCACCTGAAGACACTGTAACCTAGAGATGCTGAGTGTCTTTTTCAAGAGCACACACCTGATGAGTTGTCAAACAGACCAGATTCCTGGTGACCGGATCTGTAAGAGTCTAGTATCCTCTTCCTTCTGTACCACCATATGTCCTGTGAGGTCATTTGTGAATGTGACCGCTCACATTCTAATAACCTTCATTGTGTCTCCAGTGACTGGGGCTCTGGCTCACTCTGGTGTGAAACATAACTGCAATTAGAATACCTCTGGTCTCAAAGAACGCAAAACTAAAAAACTAGGACAGGGCAATTCCAATTTACTCCCACTATTTCAAATCCATTTTGAGGTCATTTACACAGGGCTCTTAATCTTAACTATGTTACCCTCAAAATCTGTCCAACTAAAAGTAATGTCTGGTCATAAAAGGTAATGTCTGGGCCACCATGGATAGCCATGAATCAAAAAGTCTGATCTACTTTCTTATTTATGACTGAAGAGTACAGGCAGGTGTCTTCCAGACGCACAAAGCAGACAACTGAAAAGCCAACAGGCATTACACTGGTTCATTTGCAACAATCGTATTTCCTTACCATGAAGAATTACCTACATATATCCAAACCAGAACAGACCATTATGCCAGGAAGACCTGTCATTTAATTTACAAATATAAGAACATATCTGCTTTTCACACTGCAGTATCCGTAGCACATCCAACAGTGCCTGCGACATAATATACACTCAGTAATTTGTGAATGAACTATAGGAAGAGATGTCTCTTCTCAACCTGCCTTCAGTTAAAAACATACTACAAGATAGTATGTTCTTATGTTTGTTGATATGTTCTTATCAATAAGTAATGCTCTTATGTTTAAAATCTCTAATAAAAGAAATAATTTCTTATCACTCTCAGGAAAGAGTCTAAGGCTTTAAGGAAACAGAATTCAGCTTCTGAACATTTTCAGTTTGACGATCCATGCCAGACTCCCTTGAGTTTAAAGGAACGCTCTAGTCTACAGTTGTCATTGTCTACAAATTTTCCTCACAAATATTCCAATTGCCATAAAACAATGACATCAAAAATGTGTCATAAGCTCTTTCTTATATAAATACACTAAACGGAGGTCAACAAAAGTCTGACTTTGCCTGTCATAAACCTCATTTGTTTAACTAAAGCAATATATAGTCTTTTAACTTCATAGCCATTTAAGACAATTAAGAAAGCACTAAGGAATAAAGTGAATAAGCCTATCCTAAAAGCACATACCACAAACTTTTAAAAACTCTTTTTTTTTTTTTTTTTTTTTTTGAGACAAGGTATCACTCTGTCAACCAGGCTGGAGAGCAGTAGCGTGACCACGGCTCACTGCAGCCTCGAACTCCTGGGCTCAAGCAATCCTTCCACCTCAGCCTTACAAGTAGCTGGGACCACAGGCATGCACCACCATGCCTGCCTAATTTTTGTTATATTTTTTTTTTAATAGAGACAGGGTCTTGCTCTTGAACTCCTAGGCTCAAGCAATCTGCCCGCTTCCGCCTCCCAACGTGCTGGGATTACAGGCATGAGCCACTGCACTGGGCCCTAACTCTTTTCTTTGTAAGAGACGGAGCCTCGTTGTGTTTCCCATGCTGGAGGGCCGTGGAAATTCACAGGTGCGATCAGGGTGCATTACTGCCTCCAATTTCTGGCTTCCAGTGATCCTCCTTCCTCAGCCTCCAGAGTAGCTGGAACTACAGGCCCGCACCACTGTGCCCGGCCACAAACTAATTTTATCTTTGGAAAGCATAGGGATAAAGAGGTATAACAGCTATTATTACTCATGTAAGGAAAGTTAATACAGATGAGAATCAGGAACTTTTATTAGGTCAGATTCTGGTACAAGAAAACTAATAATATACAAAGTACTAAATAATGCAAATGGGCAAATAATAAACGTTGGGGGAATGGGAGTACTTACTGGGAACTTCACATATATACACAGGTATATAAGATGGGCTACAAATTATTACTTACTGGCTCCTAGCCTAAGAACCACACTACACACTTACGTACTATCCATTACCAAAGAGAATTACTGGTTTGCTTAAAAAAAAATCATAATTCTGATGTGTTTCCAGACTCATGTTAATTCACCAAGTATTTCTCAAATGCCTGGACCCGAATGGGGATAACCAGAACTAGGAGGGTCCTTATGGAAATTAACCGTGGAAAGAGACACTTGTCTGATTTCTTTTGATAATGGCAACCTATTCACTGAATAAATATACACGCAAGAGTAATTTCTTTTTAGCAGTAAAATGTTTAAAAAGTACAAGTCTGTCATATGAATAAGCCAGTTTAGCTTTCAGCAAATGGTATCTAGTGGGACAATAAATTCTGGATATAAGAAAGCACTTTAATACATTTTCCAATGATTTATTTTCTACAGATACAGTGAAACATAAAAGGCATAGTGTTTTCTTGCTTCTCAGTAGTCTCCCTATGAGAAACAATGGAAGATGCTTAAATAATTTGTAAACTTGAGACTTTGACTTTTTTTAATGTAAGACTTTATTTTCATTGAATTATCATTTTGTGTGGCAAATAAATTCCTTCCTGCCTGCAAGAGCAAAGGACATCTTCAAACAAGGACAAAATGACAATGCCCCTCCAAAAGGTTTGAGATTTTTTAAATTTAAATTTTATCTTTATAGATTAAGTAAAACAATCATATGGTACTCTAGATTTATTGTAATGAACAAAAGTATATCCAAGCTGTAAGTCTATTGAAACATTTATGAACAGTCTGGAGACTGGGTTCTAAACTGAGTTCTGGCATTAGGAAATAAAAACGCTTGTTCACTTTTACGCACTGTGAAACGTTTCTTATCTATAAACAAGATGATTGGATGAGATCAGCTCTAAGGCATCTCTGAGCTCTTGTTCCTAGGAGAGTCCTTTACAAAGCTTTTAAATTCAGCAACTAATGCATGACTATAGAAACGGGCACTCTCTAGTTTTTCACAATTAAACTAAAAACTTTAATAATAGCTTGCTATTCATTTTAAAATTTCTGTATTGTAAAACGTTTTTACTGTATAATTACACAATATTAGTTAAAACATTATATTTAGATGGTCTATTGATGTTTAATATTATAGGCAACGTATCTCTGCAGATTAGGGAATAACCTAAGTAGAAGAATAAATTATCTTTTCCATTTTCAAAAGCTACATTACAAAACTAGGCTATAAAACTTTTGATAGATACTCCCTGTTAATGAATTATTAAAAGTAAACCATAATAATTCATGAAAGACTAAACTGTAAAATTATTTATGTTCTAAAACAAACTATTAGATTTTTCATTTCTGTTGGTATTATTAAGTACATCAAGACAAAGCAACAGAACTAGAGACAGACAACTGGAGGAAAGAAGAGGAGAGAGTATGAAACTAGTAAAAAATATCTTTTATTATAGCTTGAAAATTTTCATTTAATTTTTCTAAAAAGGAAAAAATTTGGAAGAGATGCCTGAAACAAACACGATAAGCAATTTGTTATGTCAAAATCAAAACCTGCAGATCTTATAACTTCCTCACTGTAGTAAGGCATGTGTTCTTTTTTTTTTTTTTTTGAGGCAGAATCTCGCTCTGTTGCCCAGGCTGGAGGGCAGTAGCGTGTGATCTCGGCTCACTGCAAGCTCTGCCTCGCAGGTTCACGCCATTCTCCTGCCTCAGCCTCCCAAATAGCTGAGACTACAGGCGCCCGCCACCATGCCCAGCTAATTTTTTTTTGTATTTTTAATAGAGACGGGGTTTCACTATGTTAGCCAGGATGGTCTTGATCTCCTGACCTTGTGATCCTCCTGCCTCGGCCTCCCAAAGTGCTGGGATTACAGGCGTGAGCCACCGCGCCCGGCCGTGTTCTCCATTTTTATCTTGCATTTAAAGTCTACAAAAGGCCAGGTGTAGTGGCTGATGCTTGTAATCCCAACACTTTGGGAGGCTGAGGCGGGCAGATAACTTGAGGTCAGGAGTTTGAAACCAGCCTGGCCAACATGGTGAAACCCCATCTCTAATAAAAATACAAAAATTATCTGGGTGTGATGGTGGGCACCTGTAATCCCAGCTACTCGGGAAGCTGAGGTATGAGAATCACTTGAACCCGGAGGCCGAGGTTAGGGTAAGCCAAGATTGTGCCACTGCACTCCAACCTGGGCAACAGAGCAAGACTCCGTCTCAGAAAAATAAATAAATAAATAAATAAATAATAAAAAAATAAAAAATAAAGTCTACAGAAGTGCTCATGAGGGCAGAAGATTTTTTAAATGAACCAAAAAATGGCTTGATTAAAAATCTTCACAGGCCGGGCACAGTGGCTCACGCCTGTAACCCCAGCACTTTGGGAGGCCGAGGCGGGCAGATCATAAGGTCAGGAATTCGAGACCAGTCTGATGAACATAGTGAAACCCCACCTCTACTAAAAATACAAAAACTAGCCGGGTGCGGTGGTGCGCGCCTGTAATCCCAGCTACTCAGGAGACTGAGGCAGGAGAATCGCTTGAACCCGGGAGGCGAAGGTTGCAGTGAGCCAAGATTACGCCACTGCACTCCAGCCTGGGCGACAGAGTGAGATTCCATCTCAAAAAAAAAAAAAAAACTTCACAAACAGCTCTGAAAATACTCACCAAACAAAATAATTCACATATTTTTGTACGTAACTCAGAAGATATGAAGTAAATAGTTTCAAAGAGCATACACTATACCTCCAAAGTGGTTATTAATAATTTTTAAAGACTACTTCAGAAATACTTTTGAAAACAACTGTTTAAACTTCCCATGTTATAACTTTAATAGCATTAAATCAGAATCTAGCCCAACGGAAACACATCTTAGTAAGCCAGAGGGTTCAAGCGACTCGCCTGGGTCCAATGTTTGTGTGTTCTTTCCACACTACCACAGGTGGAATTTAGAAATCACCAAAACAAAATAAATTAACAAGTTTAAGTGTTTTATCACCAAATCTAGTAGGAAACTCTTCATTACTGATAAAAATGTAGTCATGGGAATTTACTATGTAAACATAAAGGTTGCCAAGTTAATGGCTTATCTTACTGCATAAGCCACCAAAAAAACTAAACTAAAATTTAATATAAAAGAATATAAGCTACTCCTCTCCCTGAGACTGTTCATCACTATACCATCCTTTTATAACCTCTCTTCGTTTTTCTCAAAACAATGAAACATTAAGAATTATTTTCTAAGTAAAGTACTGGAATACTGGCGGGGCTGGGGGTGGGGAAGGGAAGAGGATGAATGGAAACCTGATTTATCCAAAAATTACCCTTAAAGCAACATTTTGGTTAACATGAACTTGACTACAGTTTACCTCCTTTTATTGTGCTTCACTTTACTGTACTACTCAGATACTGCACTTTTTACAAATTGAAGGTTTGTGACAACCCTGCATCAAGCAAGCCTATCAGTGCCATTCTTCTAAAAGCATGTGCTCACTCCATGTCTCTGTGTCACATTTTGGTAATTCTTGCATTATCTCAAACTTATTCATTATCATTACATCTGTCATGGTGATCTGTGATGAGTGTTCTTTGATGATACTATTGTAACTGTTCCGGGGCACCACAAACCATGCTCATATGAGACAGGGAACTTAATTGATAAATGTGTGTGTGACTGTTCCACCAACCAGCATTCTCTCTCCCTCTCCTCAAGCCTCCCTATTCCCTGAGATGCGACAATATTGAAAGTAGGCCAATTCATAATCCTACAACGGCCTCTAAGTGCTCAAGTGAAAGCAAGAGTTTCAAGTCTCTCACTGTAAATCAAAAGCTAGAAATAATTAAGCTTAGTAAGGAAGCCATGTCTAATGACCTGACAGTCTAAAGCCAGGCCTTCTTGTGGCAAACAATTGGCCAAGCTGTGAATGCAAAGGAAAAATTATTGATGGAAATTAAAATTGCTACTCTAGTGAACACACGAATGATAACAAACTAAAACAGCTTTATTGCTGATATGGAGAAAGTGTGAGTGATCTAGATTGAAGATAAACCAGCCACAACATTCCCTTAAGCCAAAACCTAACCCAGTGTAAAGCCCTAACTCTCTTCAATGCTATGAAGGCTTAGAGAAGTGAGGAAGCTGCAGAAGAAAAGGCTGTAGTTAGAGGATGGTTCATAAGGTTTACGGAAAGAAGCTATTTCCAGAACATAAAAATGCAAGGTGATGCAATGAGTACTTATGCAGAAGCTGCAGCAAGTTATCCAGAAGATCTAGCTATTATAAGATCACTGATGAAGGTGGCTACACTCAACGACACATTTTCATTGAAGACAAATAGCCTTCAATTGGAAGAAGATGCCATCTAGGACTTTCATAGCTAGAGAGGAGAAGTCAATACCTGGCTTCAAAGCTTCAAGGACAGGTTGACTCTGTTGTTAGGGGCTAATGTAGCTGGTAATTTTCAGTTGAAGCCAATGCTCACTTACCATTCTGAAAATCCTAGGGCCCTTAAGAATTATGATAAATCTACTCTGCCTGTGTTCTATCAATAGAACAACAGAGCCTACATGACAGCACATCTGTTTACAGCATCTGGTTTAGTGAATAATTTAAGCCCACTGTTGAAACCTAATCCTCAGAAAAAAAGATTTCTTTCAGAATATCACTGTTCATTAACAATGCACCTGGTCACTCAAGAGTTCTGGTGAAGATACAAAAGGAGATGAATGTTTTCATGACTGCTAACACAATATCCATTCCGCAGTTCATGGATCAAGGAGTAATTTCATCTTGCAAGTCTTATTATTTCAGAAATAAATTTTGTACGTTTATAGCTGCCATGGATACTGATTCTCTAATGGATCTTGGCAAAGTGAATGGAAAACTTTCTGGAAAGGATTCATCATTCTAGATGGCATTAAGAACACTGATGATTCATGGGAAGAGGTAAAAATATCAACATTAACAGGAATAAAAAAGAAGTTGATTCCAACCAGCACGGATGACTTTAAGGAGTTCAAGACTTTGGTGGAGGATGTCACCGCAAGTATGGTGGAAGTAGCAGGAGAACTAAAATTAGAAGTAGAGGCTGGGCATGGTGGCTCATGCCTGTAATCCCAGCACTATGGAAGGCTAAGGCGGGAGGATTGCTTGAGGACAGAAGTTCAAAACCAGCCTGGTCAACATAGTGAGACTCCCTCTCTACAAAAGAAAAATTAAAAAGTTAGCTGGGCATGGTGGCATGAGCCTGTAGTCCCAGCTACAGGGGAGGCTGTGGCAGGAGGATCGTTTGAGCTCAGAAGTTTGAAGCTGCAGTGAGCCATGATTGTACCACTGCATTCCAGTCTGGGTGACAGAGTAAGACCCTGTCTCAAAAAAAAAAAAAAAAAAAAAAAAAAAAAAAAAAGTAGAGCCTTAAGGAATTGCTACACTCTTAAGATAAAACAAACAGATGAAGAGTTGCTTCTTATACATAAGCAAAGAAAGTGACTTTTTTGAGATAGAATCTACTCCTGGATGGAATCACAGCATCCTGAAGATGCTGTGAAAACTGTTGAAACAACAACAAAAGATTTAGTACAGTGTATAAACTTGGTTGATAAACCAGTGGCAGGGTCTGAGAGGACTGTTTTGAAAGAAGTTCTACTGTGGATAAAATACCCAAAGCATCCCATGCTAAAGAGAAATCTTTCATGAAAGTCAATCGATCCAGCAAGTTAACTACTTTATTTTAAGAAATTGCCACAGCTACCTGAGCCTTCAACAACCACCACTGGAATCAGTCAGCAGCTATCAAGAGGGAGGTAAAGACCTCCCACCAGCAAAAAGATTATGACTTGCTGAGGGCTCAGATGAGCAGCAGCATTTTTTACCAATGAAGTATTTTAAAATTAAGATGTGTACATTTTTTAGACATAGTACTATTGTACTCTCAACAGACTACAGTATAATGCAAACATAACTTTTATATGTACTGAAAATCCAAAAAACTCATCTGTCTTTATTGCAATATTTGCTTTTTGCAGTGGTCTGGAACCAAACTTGGAGTATCTCTGAGACATGCCTATATTTCCTTGATTTCTAATGTGAATATGATACATGTGAAAAATGAACCTAATAAGCAATTCAAACTATGTAGATAATAAATCTAAAAACCATGTACACTGATATATTCTTTGACATATCCTATACAGAACACGGCTTAACAAAGAATATGTAATGCACACACATGCTAAATACCTTTTATCTTGCAGATATATTTAGCTCTCTACATAAGAAATGCCCTCGGAAAACATTCATACATATTTTAAAAGGAGAACTTTCCCGCTTTACACAGCAGCATTTTATAATAAAATACTGATGCAATTGTTTCAGGATTCAAAAATACTTATTTCATTACAACCCTGTTTTTCCCCCCCGAAAAAAAGAGTTGAAGAATAACTTTGATAGAATCTTAAGCAGGAAAAAAACCTGACAAACCCAATAAACAAAACATGAACTACCCAACTGTTTTACCAATGCTTTAATATAAATTTTGCAAAGGAGGAAGGGCTCAACAAAATATACGCCCTGCATAAGTCAGTGAAGGTCCAAATTTTCAACCCAATTAACTCAGGGTCTGTTTTAGTTTTGAAAAGATCAAAACCTTAAAAAAAAAATCTAAGCTGGCTGAATTTTTACAAGGCAGGAATGAAATACTGAAGAGAGACATCTTCTTGAACCAAAACAAGCTGAAGAAGAGTATTGTCCCAAATATTGCACAGGGCCGTCGTAGGATGTATTTGCTGTCCCTCCAAAAACTGCAGAAGCTTCCGATTGTCCACCCGCACTTGCACCATGCTCTCCAGGTCTCTGTTTTCAGGCACACCCACAGCCGACTGGGGAGGGTTTCCAAGATTTTTAAAATAACTTTGAATGGACACCACCTCCGTCTCTATACTCAGGGTCATCCTGCCACTGAGGTTTGCTTCCACCAGCACGTGACTGCCCACGTTCGCCATCCTCTCCACGATGCTCCTCAGCGTCCTCCAGCGCGGCAGGCGGATGCTCGCGTCGGAGGCGCGCAGGCTGGGCGGCAGGCAGTCCCGCCACACTCTCCTGGGAAGCACCCGCACGGGCAGATCGTGCACCACGCTGCGAGCGCGGCCCAGGGACGAGACCAGCTCCACCGCCACCGTGAGGGAGGGGCGGCGCTTGTGGGTCAGCTGCAGCTTCAGGGAGGACGCGCCCGCTGCGCTTCTCGCCGCCCGGGACAGGTGCTCCGCCGTCAGCTCCAGGTGGATCTCATCGAGATCTTCCGAGACACCTTCCATGCGAAACTGCTGGAAGGCCCCCTGCCGCACCTCGCACCACAGCCTGGCCTCGTGGAGGCCGCCGGAACCCGCGGGGCCGAAGCACAGGCTGTCAGGGCGCACGCGGAGCACGCAGACCTTCGCTAGCCTCGCGACGGTGCCGCTGACGTGAATGAACAGCTCTAGACAGCCTTTGCCGGTGATCTTGGCGCGAAACTTCATGATGCCACAGGGAAGGCAGCTGGGGGCCTCTGAGGGGGATTCCGCGTGCCACAAGCCCTTCCGGTCCGCTGGGGTCCGTGGCGCTGCCCTCCCCGCCCTCCCTCCGGCCCCCCAGCTAGGCAGGCACTCGGGTTCCCGGTTGCGGTTGCGGGTTCTGTTGTGGGTTCCGCAGCCCTAGGCCTGGAGCCACGGAAGGGCCTCCCAACGCCCGTTCTCACCTTCCCTCCAGCCCTCTCACAAAATGCTTCCGTTTCCACTCCGGTTATAAGAAGAGTAGGCATTCCACTGCTGAAACTTCTTAGTATTCTAAACACAATGAAGACAAAATCATCACTCAGATAAAGAACCACTTTTAATCTCTTTGGTATATACACTGATTCCATCTTCATCAATCGGCATATAAGAAGATATAGTTCCACGTGTCTTATGAAATCATAGCATACCAGGCATACATTTTACAACCTCATCTTCACACTTAAATATGTAACAGGCACCTTTCCATGCTGGTGAAACAAATCTACACCATCTTCATGGCTGCTCACTTTTCCAGTGTATGGAGTTATAACACAAATGACATTTGGATGATTTCCAATTTTTTGCTATTATGAACACAATGAATATTTTTGTACAAAATAGTTTTGCCCATTTACCCAACTATTTCCTTGCATTAAATTCAGAAGTGAAGTGCTGGTCAATGAATGCACTTTTAAAATCCTAATAAATATTCTCAGACTGGCCTGCAGAAAGCTACATGAACACTCTAGCCCACCAGCAACACTGGGTAGTAGCAATCTGTTTTACCTGTAGCACTCTGGCAGGCAAAAAAAAAAAAAAAAAATTCAACTTGCACTGTGTGTGAATTCCATCTTATGCCCTTTGCATCTTTTTACTGAGTTTATTTTTCTTGATTTTAAGATATCTAGCAAGAACATTAACCCTCTGTCCATTACATGTACTGTAAATATCTTCCCCAGTTTATCATGTGACTTTTCACACTGTTTTTGGTATTCTTTGCCCTTGGGAAATACTGAGTATTTTCATGTCAAACCTATTGACCTTTTCTCTACTACTTCTAGGGTCATGCTTTCAAAGTCCTGTTTCTGGTACTTTAATGTTATCTGTTTTTATGACTTAGTTGTTTGACTCAGTTGAAATCTTTTTTGGAGTACCGAATGCCTAGCTGATACACATAATTCACTAAACAATCCACTTCTCCACTAACCTGAAATGTCAATTTTGTTTTAGACAAAAATTCTCATTTTTGCTTGAATGTTTCCTGGCCCTCTCTATATTTTCTCCCACTGCCCTATCTTGAACCTGTACCAGTGATTTAATTTCTGTATTATATTTCAATATCGAATAGGACAATCTTTCAGAACTTCTCTCATTCTCTCACAGATACTGCTCCAGATGAATTCTAAAATATTTTGTCAGAGTCTAAAAATAATCTTCCTGGAATTCTGATGGGAATTATCACCAGCCTGATATAGTACATACTTAGACTTCTTTGTTTGCCGTCTAGCTCTAACCACAATGATGTAAGTTAGAGGAGTTCTTATCTGTTCCATACACTGCTGTACACCCAGCATTTAGAACAGTATTTGCCATGCAACTGGTGTTCAACACAAATTTTTAAATGAATGTATGAAATGTATAAATTTCAAGATAATTTCAGGATATTTAAAATATATATATATATTTTATATATATATATATATATATTTTTTTTTTTTTTAGACGAAGTCTTGCTTTTGTCGCCCAGGCTAGAGTGCAATGGCGTGATCTCGGCTCACTGCGACCTCTACCTCTCAGGTTCAAGCGATTCTCTTGCCTCAGCCTCCCGAGTAGCTGGGATTACAGGCGCCTGCCACCATGCCCAGCTAATTTTTGTATTTTTAGTAAAGACGAGGTTTCACCATGTTGGCCAGGCTGGTCTCGAACTCCTGATCTCAGGTAATCTGCCCACCTTGGCCTCTCAAAGTGCTGGGATTATAGGCGTGAGCCACTGCGCCCAGCCAAGATATTTAAAATATTTACATTAAATCCTCCCACTTATTCAAACCATTTTTTATGACTGTCAATGAATTATTCAGTTCTGTTCTTAGGGAGTTCACATAATATACAGTATCTTGAAGTCAGTCAAGTCACTGAGCTCTCCTGAAATCATTTTTCAATTGACCTTTTATGTCTCTAATGTAGAAAATCTTACTATCTTCATGTACTGTAATTATGGCTTTTACTCTTCAAAGTTTATGTCATTTATTTAACTGACATTGCGTTTGCTGTAATTTTCAAAACACTGCTGAATAACAGTGGTGCCAGAAAGCATCTTTGTCTTATTTGTAACTAATGACGAATCCTCTAGAGCAGTGTTTCCCAAACTGTCATTAGCGCCCCCAAGAGTCTTTTTAGGTGTTTTCCCTAACTGCCCTCCATGGAATTTTAGATCACAGGTCCAGACAGAGCAGCATGCGAAGGCTCGCATTGTGAATTTTAGCCCCAGATAGACTGCAAGAACAAACCAGCAATCTCAGACCCTCTGAAGGAAGTAAACTGCTCTTGCAGGACCTGGGAGACACTCCAAATACTGTGAGTGCCCCAACTGTGGAAGTGGGAAAAGGAGCCCTTCCTCTCCCGAACACACACTCCCACTGGAGAAGCTGAAGGTCTGTTTGCGGGAGAAGTTTCCGACTTTACCTGGAGCTGAGTCAATCTGGAGGGGTGAGCGAAACACAGGGGTAGAGGCAGCAGAAAAGCCCTGGGAGCTCACTGTGTCCCCTTGCAGGCCATTCCTGCCTGGCACCACAGGGATCCATCTGGAAGGTGGCCTGAGGAGCAGGGGGTACAACTCCACAGGGAGAAGGAAATCTCTAACTGAACTTTGTAACAATTTCAAGGGACTGAGAAGCCTCCTGGCCAGAACTTGGGAGAGGACGCAAATCTGGTGTGCAGACTCCACAGGCGGGGACAGAACCCAGCCTTTTTAGTTCGCAGCTGGGAGGCAGGTAGCCTGGGGCAGATTTTCAAGCCGTCTTGCCACTCAGGGCTGTTGGGGGGGGGACACGGGGGGCACGGTGGTTGTGAGACTGGCCCTTCAGTTTTGCGTGGGAGCTGGGTGAGGCCTGTGACTGCAGACTTTCCCCCACTTCCCTGACAACCTGCATGACTCAGCAGAGACAGCCATAATCCCCCTAGGTACAGAACTCCACCCCCATCCCCCAAGACCCACCCATCCCCCCCAACCCGATGGTCCTTCCCTACCCAACCTGGTAGTGGAAGACAAAGGACATATAATCTTGGGAGTTCTAGGGCCCCGCCCACTGCCAGTCCCTCTCCACACTACTACAGCTGATGCTTTCTGGAAAGCACCACCTCCTGGCAAAAGGCCAACTAGCACCAAACTAGAGCATTAAACCACCAAAGCTAAGGACCCTCCCTCAGGGAGTCCATTGCACCCTCCGCCACCTCCACTGGAACAGGCGCTGATATTCACATTCACGGCTGAGAGACCATAGATGGTTCACATCACAGGACTCTGTGCAGGCAACCCCCAGTACCAGCACAGAGCTGGGTAGACTCGCTGGGTGCTAGACCCAGAAGAGAGACAACAATCTTGCAGTCTGGCTCACAGGAAGCCACATCCACAGGAAGATGGGGAGAGCACTACATCAAGGGAACACTTTGTGGGACAAAAGAATCTGAACAACAGCTTTCAGCCCTAGACCTTCCCTCTGACAAGGCTACCCAAATGAGAAGGAACCAGAAAACCAACCCCGGTAATATGACAAAACAAGGCTCTTCAACACCCCCGAAAAAATCACACTAGTTCACCAGCTATGGATCTAAACCATGAAGGAATCCCTGATTTACCTGAAAAAAAAATTCAGGAGGTTAGTTATTAAGCTAATCAAGGAGGGATCAGGGAAAGGCGGAGCCCAATGCAAGGAAATCAAATAAACAATACAAAAAGTAAAGGGAGAAATATTCAAGGAAATAGATAGCTTAAAGAAAAAACAATCAAAAATTCAGGAAACTTTGGACACACTTTTAGAAATGCAAAATACTCTGGAAAGCCTCAGCAATGGAAATGAACAAGTAGAAGGAAGAAATTCAGAGCTCGAAGGTCTACAAATTAACCAATCCAACAATGACAAATAAAAAAGAATAAGAAAATATGAACAAAGCCTCCAAGGAGTCTGGGGTTATGTTAAATGACCAAACCTAATAATCGGTGTTCCTGAGGAAGAAGAGAATTCTAAAAGCTTGGAAAACATGGGGAATAATCATGGAAAACTTCCCCAGCCCTGCTAGAGACCCAGACATCCAAATACAAGAAGCACAAAGAACACCTGGGAAATTCATTGCAAAAAGATCATCACCTAGGCACACTGTCATCAGGTTATACACAGTTCAGACTAAGGAAAGAGCTAAGACTAAGAGCTGTGAGATAGAAGCACCAGGTAGTCTATAAAGGAAAACCTATCAGATTAACAGCAGATTTCTCAGCAGAAACCCTATAAGCTAGAAGGGGTTGAGGCCCTATCTTCAGCCTCCTCAAACCAATTATCAACAAAGAATTTTGTATCCATTGAACCTATGCATCATATATGAAGGAAAGATACAGTTGTTTTCAAACCAATTCTGAGAGAATTCACCATTACCAAGCCACCACTACAAGAACTGCTAAAAGGAGCTCTAACTCTTGAAACAAATCCTGGAAACACAACAAAACAGAACCTCTTTAAAGCATAAATCACACAGGACCTATAACAAAAATACACGTTACAAAGCAAAAACAAACAAAAAAAAAGTACACAGGCCAAAAAGAGCATGATGAAAGCAATGGTACCTCACATTTCAATGCTAACGCTGAAAGTAAATGGCCTAAATGCTCCACTTAAAAGATACAGAACCACAGAATGGATAAGAACTCACCAACCAACAATCTGCTGCCTTCAGGAGACTCAGCTAACACATAAGGACTCACATAAAGTTAAAGTAAAGGGGTGGAAAAAGGCATTTCATGCAAATGGACACCAAAAGAGAGCAGGGGTAGCTATTCTTATATCAGACAAAACAAACTTTAAAGCAACAGCAGTTAAAACAGACAAAGAGGGACATTATGTAATGGTAAAAGGCCTTATTCAACAGGAAAATATCACAATCCTAAACATATATGCACTAAAACTGGAGCTCCCAAATTTATAAAACAATTACTAATAGATCTAAGCAATGAGACAAACAGAAACACAATAATAGTGGGGGACTTCAATACTCCACTGACAGCACTAGACTGGTCATCAAGACAGAAAGTCAACAAAGAAACAACGGATTTAAATGATACCTTGGAACAAATGGACTTAACAGATATATACAAAACATTTCATCCAACAACTGCAGAATATACATTCTATTCAACAGCACATGGAACTTTCTCCAAGATAGACTATATGACAGGCCATAAAATGAGCCTCAATAAATTTAAGAAAATTGAAATTATATCAAGCACTCTCTCAGACCACAGTAAAATAAAACTGGAAATCAACTCCAAACAGAACCTTCAAAACCATGCAAATACATGGAAATTAAATAACCTGCTCCCAAATGAGCATTGGGTCAAAAACAAAATCAAGATGGGAATTAAAAAATTCTTCAAACTGAATGACAATAATGACACAACCTATCAAAACCTCTGGGATTCAGCAAAGGTGGTGCCATGAGGAAAGTTCATAGCCCCAAGCACCTGTATCAAAAAGTCTGAAAGAGCACAAACAGATGCTCTAAGGTCACACCTCAAGGAACTAGAGAAACAAGAACAAACCAAACCCAAACCCAAACCCAGCGGAAAAAAGGAAATAACCATGATCAGAGCAGAATTAAATGAAATTGAAAAAACACCAACAAAATACAAAAGATAAATGAAACAAAAAGCTGGTTCTACAAGGCTGAGGCAGGAGAACTGCTTGAACCTGGAAGGTGGAGGCTGCAGTGAGCCGAGATCACACCACTGCACTCCAGCCTGGGTGGCAGAGCAAGACTTTGTCTCAAAAAAAAAAACAAATCCTGGTTCTTTGAAAAGATAAATAAAATTGACAGACCATGAGCACGATTAACCAACAAAAGAAGAGAGAAAAGCCAAATGATCGCACTAAGAAATGCAACAGGAGATATTACAACTGACACCACTGAAATACAAAAGATCCCTCAAGGCTAATATGAACACCTTTACACACATAAATTAGAAACCTAGAAGAGATGGATAAATTCCTGGATAAATATAACCCTCCTAGCTTAAATCAGGAAGAAATAGACACCCCGAACAGACCAATAACAAGCAGCAAGATTGAAATGGTAATTAAGAAATTACCACCAAAGAAAAGTCCAGGACCAGAGGGATTCACAGCAGAATTCCACCAAACACTCAAAGAATTGGTACCAATCCTTTTGACACTATTCCACAAGATAAAGAAGGAACCCTCCCTAATTCATTCTATGAAACCAGCATCACCCTAATATCAAAACCAGGAAAGGACATAACAAAAAAGAAAACTACAGACCAATATCCTTGATGAACATAGATGCTAAAATCCTTAACAAAATACTAGCTAACTGAATCCAGCGACATATCAAAAAGATAATCCACCATGATCAAGGGAGTTTCATACCAGGGATGCAGGGGTAGTTTAACATACACAAGTCAATAAATATGATACACCACATAAACAGAATTAAAAACAAAAATCACATGATCATCTCAATAGACACAGAAAAAGCATTTGACAAAATCCAACTTCCCTTTATAATTAAAACTCTCAGCAAAACTGACATACAAGAGACATACCTTAATGTAATAAAAGCCATGTATGACAAACCCACAGCCAACATAATACTGAATGGGGAAAAGTTGAAAGCATTCCCTCTGAGAACGGGAACAAGACAAGGATGCCCACTCTCACCACTCCTCTTCAACATAGTACTGCAAGTCCTAGCCAGAGCAATCAGACAAGAGAAAGAAAGGCATCCAAATCGGTAAAGAGGAAGTCAATCTGTCACTGTTTGCTGAAGATATTATCGTTTACCTTGAAAACTCTAAGGACTCCACCAGAAAGCTCCTAGAACTGATAAAAGAATTCAGCAAAGTTTCCAGATACAAGATTAATGTACACAAATCAGTAGCTCTTCTCTATAGCGAAAGCAACCAAGTGGAGAATCAAATCAAGAACTCAACCCCTTTTACTATAGCTGCAAAAATAAAATAAAATAAAATACTTAGGAATATACCTAACCAAAAACAGGTCTTTCGGAGGACCTCTACAGAGAAAACTACAAAACCCTGCTGAAAGAAATTGTAGATGACACAAAAAAATGAAAACACATCCCATGCTCATGGATGAGTAGAATCAATATTGTGAAAATGACCATACTGTCAAAAGCAATCTACAAATTCCATGCAATCCTACCACCATCACTCTACACAAAATTAGAAAAAGCAATTCTAAAATTCATATGAAACCAAAAAAGAGCCCGCATAGCCAAAGCAAGACTAAGCAAAAACAACAAATCTGGAGGCATCACACTACCTGATTTCAAACTATACTATAAGGCCATAGTCACCAAAACAGTGTGGTACTGGTATAAAAACAGACACACAGACCAGTGGAAAAGAATAGAGAACCCAGAAATAAAGCCAAATACTTACAGCCAACTGATCCTTGACAAAGCAAACAAAACCATAAAGTGGGGAAAGGACACCCATTTCAACAAATGGTGCTAGTATAACTGGCTAGCCACATGTAGGAGAATAAAACTGGATCCTCGTCTCTCACCTTATACAAAAATCAACTCAAGGTGGATTAAGGACTTAAACCTAAGACCTGAAACTATAAAAATTCTAGAAGATAATGTTGGAAAACCCCTTCTAGACATTGGCTTAGGCAAGGATTTCATGCCAAGAACCCAAAAGCAAAGACAGTAAAAACAAAGATAAATAGCTGGGACCTAACTAAACTAAAGAGCTTTTGCATGGCAAAAGAAACAGCAGAGTAAACAGACAACACACAGAGGGGGAGAAAATCTTCACAATCTATACATCTGACAAAGGACTAATACCCAGAATCTACAATGAAGTCAAACAAATCTGTAAGAAAAAAAACAATCACATCAAAAAATGGGCTAAGGACATGAATAGGCAACTCTCAAAAGAAGATATACAAATGGCCAACAAACATATGAAAAAAATGCTCAGCATCACTAATGATCAGGGAAATGCCAATCAAAACCACAATGCAATAGCATCTTACTCCTACAAGAATGGCCATAATCGAAAAATCAAAAACCAGTACATGTTGGTGTAGATGCGGTGAACAGGGAACACTTCTACACTGCTGGTGGGAATGCAAACTAGTACAGCTGCTATGGAAAACAGTGTGGAGATTCCTTAAAGAACTAAAAGTAGAACTACCATTTGATCAAGCAATCCCACTACTGGGTATCTACCCAGAAGAAAATAACTGAATATTCAAAAAAGATTCTTGCACATACGTTTATAGCAGCACAATTCACAATTGCAAAATCGTGGAAAACCCAAATGCCCATCAATCAATGAGCTGATAAAGAAACTGTGGTATATATATACAATGGAATACTATGCAGCCATAAAAAGGAATGAATTAATAGCATTTGCAGTGACGTGGATGAGATTGGAGACTATTATTCTAAGAGAAGTAAATCAGGAATGGAAAACCAAACATCGTGTGTTCTCACTGATATGTGGGATCTAAGCTATGAGGATGCAAAGGCATGAGAATGATACAATGGACTTTGGGTACTTGGGGGGAAGAGGGGGAGGGGGTTGAGGAATAAAAGACTACAGGATGTGGTGCAGTGTACACTGCTTGGGTGATGGGTGCACCAGAATCTCACAAGTCACCACTAAGAACTTAGTCATGTAACCAAATACCACCTGTACCCCAATAACTTACAGAAAATAAAAATAAAAATAAGAGTCAAAAAATTATAGTCATCAAGAGAAATGTGGTCTGCTACCTATTCTTGTGAATAAAGTTTTATCAGAACACAGCCACATTCATTTGATTCCATGTCATCTAAGGCTGCTT